>NC_000002.12:16449149-16600664 GCF_000001405.40 Homo sapiens
TAAACTTGGAGGTTGACTGATGAAACAGACACGTTTCATATTGACCCTTAAAAACCTTAATACTCCTCATTTAAAGATGGGGAAAATGAGTCCCAAGGCTTATGGAAACCGAACCCAGGGGGTAAAAGTCTCCTCTAAAGTCACTCACATTAGGAACAGAGTTGAGATATAAGCCCACATTTTTCTGAAGACTCTACCTATGATTTTTAAATATAGGCTTCTTGGAGAGGGTGGACTTAAGTTGGAATAATTCAATTAACCTTGTTAGCATTTAATGTAAAGCCATTTATTGGGAACTTTGAAATTATTGGGGATGAAAGGCAAATTTAACTATTATTACCACTGCCTCTTGGTTTTGGATAATAATAGTTGCTGCCTCCAACCACCAGCTTCAGCCAAGCAGCCTCCAGAATTTTGTGTTTCAGATGTGTAAAAATAGGCCTCAGTAACAACAACAGTAACAACAACATAGCCATCATCAACAACACCAAGAAAAGTTTTCTCTCAAATACTTAAAATGCATTTCCAATACTTAAATCAGAAATGTCAGGGGATATGTTGTCTTAGGTAAACTGCATTTACTTATGATAAACCAAAGATTTGCAAGCAGACATTTTAAAGAGACTCAGGATATTTCCTTTTTGTAGTTCAAAAGCCACTTGGTCCTAGGACCATTCAGGCAAAGCAGTTATTATGGTCCCATGTGGGAAAAGGCGGGTGAGGCTGGAATGTGCGCAGTAAATACAAAACCTCATCTACAGAGCTCCACTTGCTCCTGCTGCTCTGTTGAGGCTAATTGGAGGAGAGCAACCTTTTTGAGAAAGGAAAGAAATTTCTGGATTTGAAGCAGATGTCTGAAGCTTGCCGAATCCACAATGCAGGCTTTTAAAAGAAATATTGCAATAATTAGGAGTCCGGTTTGAAGTCAATGTGTTGCTGTAAAAATTAAGGATGTTTACAACTGTGGGAAGGTTCTCTTTAAAAACCCAATTCTGATTCCAATTTGCTAGCAAATTGCATCCTGGCCCCATGGAGGGAGTGATCAGGGGACCTGTTTAATAGATCAGGATTCTCAGTGTGCAACCAAGAGGGTGATTTTCACTTGCTGTTTATGAAATATAAATATGAATTCCCATGTATGATGCAGAACTTACTTGCAGAGTTTTATAACCCCAAAAGATAGTTGGAAAGTTAAAACCAAACAGAGTGTTTGGTTTTCAGTCTCAAGTGACTGAAAAACAAAAACAAAAACAAAAACAAACAAAAAGCCCCAGAAGATTTAGCTTTCCTTGTGTGGTCCCTGGAATGGGAAATCTAGTATTTGCTAAAATTACCACCGTTTCTCAGGTATTGGTTAGTGATAAAGCACCATATTAAATTCAATGTCAAGCTATTCAAGGACAACAAGTTAGACAATGTGTGGGCTGAGTTTTCCTGCAGTCATGGATCATTATTAAGTATCTGGAAAAAATAATTTTACTTGCATGGGTTAGAAGAGGAAAAGATGCTTAAGTTTATTGGTCAGTCCAGAATATGACATTATGTAGAAAACATTATCGTAAAGGGGAATTGGAATGCAATACACCTGAGTACAAATCTAGTTTCTACAACTTAGTAGTTCAGTGGTCATGAATTTTTGAACATTTATTCCTTAACTATACTGGGAATAATAATATCCACTTTTGTAGATTTTATATATAGGTATATATTATATAATATCTACCTTTATTGATGAGAATTAGTTGTAATAGAGCATGTGAAACACTTACTGTGGCATGGAAACACTCCAGGCACATAAGAAATGTTGAACCCTCTCTCACACACACATACTCTCAATACACACACTGTTTTATTTGCTAGATGGTATATTCACACATCAGGAGGTCAGTGTCATTGTTGAGATGATAAATCTTATTGTAATTTAGAGGAGAAGGGAAGGAAACTATGTTAGAGACAATGAAATATTTCCCAATAGCTCTTCTTCCTTTTTGTAATAGAATCCCCAAGTTCTCAATGGGCACAGAACTGTTCAGCTAGAGGATATTTTTCCCTGCGTCTTTGCCATACGACTAGGTTATGTCCAAAGACATGTGAGTAGAAGTGATACATGCGATTTTGATATCATGCCACTTGTGCTCCACCTCTTTCTCTTCTTTCTTTGGTAAGAACATGTACACAACGGTAGTGAGACCATTTTACCCTACAGATGAAGTCAACACCCCAGTGAATATAGGGATAACAAAATAGAAGGAGCCTGGGTCCCTGGATGACTTTTGTGGAGCCGACCTTCCTATACTTCTGGAACTATCTACACTTCAGACTTTTACAGGAGAAATAAAAATAAAGGGCCGGGTGTGGTGGCTCACCCCTGTAATCCCAGCACTTTGGGAGGCTGAGGCAGGTGGATTACAAGGTCAGGAGATCGAGACCATCCTGGCTAACACAGTGAAACCCCGTCTCTACTAAAAATAGAAAAAATTAGCCAGGCATGGTGGCATGTGCCTGTAGTCACAGCTACTTGGGAGGCTGAAGCAGGAGAATCGCTTGAACCCAGGAGGAGGAGGTTGCAGTGAGTCGAGATCACGCCTCTGCTCTCCATCCTGGGCAACAGAGCGACACTCCATCTCAAATAAATAAATAAATAAATAAATAAATAAAGCTGACTGGGCAAGGCGGCTCATGCCTGTAATCCGAGCACTTTGGGAGGCCGAGGTGGGTGGATCACCTGAGGTCAGGCATTCGAGACCAGCCTGGCCAACATGGCGAAAATCCATCTCTACTAAAAATACAAAAATTAGCCGAGCATGGTGGCTGGTGCCTGTAATCCCAGCTACTCAGAGGCTGAGGCGGGAGAATCACTTGGACCTGGGGGGCGAAGGTTGCAGTGAGCCAAGATGATGGCACTTCACTCTAGCCTGGGTGAGTGAGACTCCATCTCAAAAAACAAACAAACAAAAAAGGCTATTTTGTTTCAGGCACTTTTATTTTGCTCATTGTTAAAGCTCCTAAACCAATATCCTATTATAAAAACTTATCTTTATTGTGGTTACAGCTCAAATTAGATCACAGCACTTCTCTGATCTGGAAACTTCTGCGGCTTCCCCTGGCTCATCAGTGAATGGCTTGTGACAGGACGAAGAATGGCGAGCTCCATGGCAGGGAAACCAGCCTAGCCGGAGTGGTGAGTAGTGGCTGCTGAATAAAGGAAGATGTTTGGAGAGGAGAGTTGAGGCCACTGTGAGGAGCTTTATTTAATTACAAAGCTAACTTCAGGTTGCTAGGTTTAGAAAGTAATTCTTGGGATTTTCATCTAGCTGGGATGAATACTAGATGAATCAGTTTGATTTACCTATCGCCAGGCATTTTTAGAGGTCTATTTTGAGTATGCAAACAAACATGGAATTGACACTGAGGTTCTTCTTCAAGGCCTGTGCTTCACATGACGTACAATTGTTCAGGACTCCCCTCATTACCCTGCATCATCTCAGTCTAGTTGAATTGTGAGTTCTCCTATGTTCCACAGTGTTGAATCACTAATTCACTTATTCAGAGTTCACTAATTTCACAACGTCTTATTGAGCACTTACAATGTGCCCGGTCTGTATTACATACTGGGAGTACAGATATGCATAAAACCCGACCCTTATGGTCATGGAGTTTGTAGTCTAGGATTTATTAACACTCATTGTCAGTGATGGGGCTTCCCCTCTGTGATGGGGCTTTTAGAAGTCCTGTAAATAAAGAGACAGCCCTTGTCTTCAGGAAGCCCATAGTCCACAATGATTATTAAATACAGTCTTCATTTAGTTCTGCCTTATAATTATAGATAGTTGTATTTTATGCTTGACCCAATCACTAGACAGTGAGTTCCTTCCAAACAAAACCTGTGTTATTTACCTCTAGTCCTCTCTCTCTCCACACAAATATTTCCTGCCTAGCATATAGTAAATATGCTACAATATTTGCTGAAAGAAAATTCAATCTATATAGTCAAAGACATTACTCCACATGTAGACACTTCCATTCTACAGAATCAAAGGCACATGCGGAGGCATTTTTAATTTCTCAATCATTGTAGAGCACCATCACGCTAATTATTGCCAAGGGAATAATTTTAAAACCCACAAAACAATCATATTTGCTTTAATGCTCCTCCTCACATTTCTGTTATTAATGGTAAGAGATGGTGATAATTCATTTCTCCTCTATGTTTTCCAGAAACTCTTTTGTAACTGGTAAAACTTAAGTGGTTTTTATACTTCATTTATGAGGCAATAACTGAATAAGTGGATTTTTACACTTCATTTATAAGGCAGCAACTGAGATACCTGGGTAAAAGTTATTTTGAACTAATTTTTCAAGACAATTTCAATTTTCAACACTAAAACCTGCATTTGCATAAAGGAGAACAAATTCATGCTTCAAGTCACTTCTTCAATCTTAACTCATTTTGTTTAGAGGAGGGAAAAATTGGTTTAGAAAACATGTCTTTAAAATGCATTTCTATATGTTAATTAAAAGATCAACTATAATAATCTATTAATTTTTCAATACTGTTAATCAAACCTGATACATAGTGACACATCCAAGCCAGAGCAAAACTGCCTTTAAGATATGTCAATGTGTTCTAAACACCTAACCAATAAAGAGGAAGTTGAAGCACTAATCTTAAAGATTGAGTATAAGAAATCCGTAAAATATCTTCCAGAGGCCCAAAGAAGAGTCTTCAAAAAAGGATCAAATAGAAATACTTGCCTAACACTTGCCTGTCTTAAGCATGGTGCCTCTAGCAATTACCCAAAATATGGAAAACAATGACCTTACACAGTGTTTTATTGGTGATTTAAAAAGAAAATGCAAGGTTTATTTCAACTAGAAAAGGAAAAAAAGTCAAAATAACTGTCTCATTAAAGAAATAACCAATGGTCTTCTTTAACTCAGGGCCTTAAGGCCTTTGGCTTAGATGATTAAAAGAACCTCTTAAGTGGCCTCTCACTCCCCTAAATGCAAGCCCTCCTGAATATGGAGGCCAGAAAGAGCTGTCTAACTTACACATTCGACAATGTCACTTCTCTACTTAAGATGTTTTAAAGCTCCGTCAATTTTAGGATTCACAACACAGCACACAACAGTGGCTTCCGAGCGTGGGCCCAGGGACCTGCGCTGGTCCATGCTGCCAAGTTTCAACTGGTGCATGGCTAAATGACACAAAAGAAGTGCACCATGGCAGGTTGTTCAAAAAGCTAAATTAGTTGGAACTGATTTGATTTATTAAAAGCATGTTTCTTGATTCTGAGGTAATACCAGTCTCACTTTTTTGAAACTCCTTATTTTGTGAAATGATAGTTATTGATAGGCGTGTTTTGTGCTTTAACGCTCTTATTTGGCAAATTTAAAATTTGGCTTGACCAGGGATCAGTGGCTCTTCTTGCTGACCGAGCCCCCCATCCCCTCTTAATGACCATGGAGACCTTTCTGCATCTCTGGCATATCTCCCATCAGACCCGTGGGCTGGGCTGTCTATCACTAGCCTCCACTCCAGAGTCATCTCCCCTGTCTCCAGGGTGCCTCCCCTACAGGTCCACTGGCTCTTGTCTCCACTTCTGTGTCACATAGAAGTGAATGGAGCCTCAGAAACATCAAGACCTTTTCTGCCTGACTGTATCTATGTGTCCTCAGAATTGGGCGTGGAACACTCCTTGTTCTCAGAGATCAAAGGTGAGTGGGGAAAGAGCCCCTTTGTCCATTATCTCACTTATTTGTCATAATGCTCTTATCAGATATGAACTATTAGGCCCATTTTTACAGATGAGGAAGTGGAGATAGAACCATTGCTCTTGACTGACAGTGCTTGAGTTAGCAAGTGAAAGAGATGAGATTTGAGCTTCAGTCATCAAACTCCTATTCATTTGTCGATCTCCAGCATCTAGCAGAGTTCCTGGCACCTAGAGAACATTTGATAAATAATTCAAAAAAGTGAGTGATTTGTTCTTCATTGTTTAATCCTTATTTTAGCTTATGATTTTTTCTGATAATAAATATACTTGCATGTTGTGTGAAGTTCATGTGTTAAAATGCAAAGAAAGCTCACCTGAAATCCTCCCACTAGAAAGTAACCTCGTTAACATTTTCATGACCTTCATTTCACACATTTATTGTAAATATATACCTTTTATATTAAAATGTCACAAAAATGAAATATTATACATGTTTTTCACAACTTACTTTTTCACTGAAAATATTATGGATAATTTTTCCAAATGAAAAATAGAAATCTATGTGTGTTTTGTAATATTTTAAAAATTCATTTGGATGTACTGTGATTTAACCATATTTGTTTCATGGCAGTATAAGTTGTTACCAGCTTGTTTGGGTATTATAATGGATGCTGTGCTGAATATTCCCACATATACATTTTAATAACTTTCTTTGATTATATACTTAAGATTAATTTCTAGAAGAGAATTCTTAGAATCAAAATATAATTGTATCTTTAATTAAAATACATATGACTAAACTGCCTAGAAAAGGTCACTGATGTACTTTCCCACCAATCATGCCTGCGAGTGAGCATGCTGACAAGTAGGACTGGCAACGCTGGTTTCCTATTAGAGTAACCTGGAGTGCTCTACAACAAAATGAAAACAAAAGGAAGTGAAGCTCACATACTATCTCAAGACCAAGTAAATCTATGTTAAGAGGTAAATCTATATTTAATGTTATAAGAAACAATGACTGTTTTTTAATGTTATTTTGCTTTTCCTCTAGAAATACATGTTCCAGTGTTTCCCATCCTTGACAGCGTTTCATTTTGTCACTCTTAATTTTAGTCAATCCACAGGTTATATAGTGCTATATCATTATGGTTTTAATTTGCATGTTCCTACTGACTAATGATGTAGAGTATTTCATGTATACATTTACCACTCATGTATCTTTTTTCATAAAGTGTTTTCTTCCAAACTTTTTTTTTTTAATTGGAATACTTGTCTTCCTTTTGTAGAACTATAGAATTTTCTATTTATTCTTAATATACACATATATTTAATGTATTCTGGATATAAGTGCTTTGTAAGATATATGTTTTGCAAACATTTCTCTTAATGTCTAACATTTCTCTAACACTATTTATTAAAAGATAAACAATTTTAATTTTTTTGAAAATCAAATTTTTAGCCAGGTGTGGTGGCTCACGCCTGTAATCGCAGCACTTTGGGAGTCTGAGGTGGTTGGATCACAAGGTCAGGAGATTGAGACCATCTTGGACAACATGATGAAACCCCATCTCTACTAAAAATACAAAAAATTAGCTGGGCATGGTGGCACATGCCTGTAGTCCCAACTACTTGGGAAGCTGAGGCAGGAGAATTGCTTGAACCTGGGAAGTGGAGGTTGCAGTGAGCCAAGATCGCACCACTGCACTCCAGCCTGGTGACAGAGTGAGACTCCATCTCAAAAAGAAAAAAGGAAATCAAGTTTCCATACTTTTTCATCCTTTATGTCTGTGGCTTTCAAAGTAATCTTTGCCCATGTCAAAGGTACAAAAATTATTTTCTTCTAGAAGTTTTATACTTCCAGTTCTATGTTTAGGTCTATCATCCATTTTTAGTTAGTTCCACTGCTTTTTAGTTGTATGCTCTATAAATTTCAATTTGGTCAAATTGGTATACAGTATAGATCAGGTCTACTCTGTCCTTAATACTTTTTTTATTTTTTAAATTAATTACTGAGAGACAAGTGTTGAAATCTTTAAGTATAATTGCAGATTTGTGTATTGTTGCAGTTCTATCAGTTCTATCTTAATATGTTTGGAAGCTATGGTATTCAGTTTATATAAACTTAGAATTGTTATATCCTCCTGATTAATTTACCTTAATAACTTTGTGAAAGTCCTTCTCTCTTTGGTAATATTTTTTGTTCTGAAATTTTGCCTAATATCAATATACATATTCCACTTTTCTATGGACAAATGTTTATGTGTTATTTTGTTGTTGTTGTTCTTTACTTTAAGTGTATCTTCATATTTATACTTTAAATTTATAGCAGGTTTCTTATGGAAAGCATTTCCTTGAGTCAGTTGGGGCTTGTATTTTTTAACCAGTCTAATAATCTTTGCATTTTAATTCGAGTGTTCTATCATTTTCATTTAATGCAATTATCAATGAAGTTAAGTTTAAATCTACTAGCTTGCTATCAATTTTCTACTTATTTCATCCATTCTTTAATCTTTTTCTTTTTTACTATATTTTGATGATTTTGTATATTTTAGGATTCCATTTTCTCTATAATGTATTTTTAGTTACTACTACTTTCCGCACTAGTCCCTGGTGTTATTGCTGTTACACACTCTAAAACTATTAAAGCCCACATATTGTTATTCATATTACTCTGACTTTAAACATCCCTATAATTTAAGAAATTTTGTAAGCAAAAAAGAGAAAATATCCTTTTTTTTTTTTTGAGACAAAGTCTTTCTCTGTCACCCAGTGCAGTGGCACAGTCATGACTCACTGCAGCCAGCCTCGACCTCCCAGTTTCAATCAACCCTCCAACCTCAGCCTCCTGAGTAGCTGGGATTACAGGTGCATGCCACCATGCCTGGCTAATTTTTATGTTTTTTTTTAGAGACGGGGTTTTGCCATGTTTTTCAGGCTCATCTCAAACACCTGTGCTCAAGCAGTCAGCCCACCTCAGCCTTCCAAAGTACTGGGATTACAGGCATGAGCCACTGTGCCTGGCCAAGAAAATATCTTCTATATTTACCTGTATATTTATCATTTCTGATACTTTTCATTCATTTGTATAGATCCACATTTCTATCTGATACCATTTTCCTACTGCCTAAACACTGTTACTTCCTTCAACATTTTTTAATAGCGTGAGTCAGCTGCCAATAATTTTTTTTCAATTTTTCTTTGTCTGGAAAGTTTTCAGTCCATCATTATTTTTAAAATTCACTTGGTAAGTTCTAGATTTACACTTTTTCTTTTACTGCCTTAAAAGTATTTCCCATTGTCTTCTGTTTTTCATAACTTTTGTACTAAGTCTGCTGTAATTTTTTGTTCCTCTATATGACATGGATTTTTTTTTTTCTCTCAGCTTCAAAAAGTTTTCTTCATCACTGTTGTTTAGAAATGTCATGGTGATGCGCTCTGGTGTGTTTTTCCTCATGTTTCTTCTGAATAGATTCATTGAGGTTTTCTGAACTGTGTGCTTATAGTTTTCAGCAAATTTAGAAAAAATATTCAGCTATTATTTCTTCAAACATCCTTTTCCTCCCCACATCTTTGTCTTCTCCTTCTGTGAACTCACTTACATGTATGTTAGTCAACTTGATATTGTTCCACAGGTCACTGATGCTGTGTTATTTCTTTATTTTTATTCTTTTTCTTTCTATGTTTCATTTTGGATAGTTTCCATTTATTTGTTTTCATGTTCACTGGTGGTTTCTTCCACATGTTTAATGTGCTGCTAATCCCTTTGGCCGTATTTTTCTTGTCAGATATTGTCTTTTTCATCTCTCAAAGTTTTCTTTTCTTTTTTTTTTTTGTTGTTGTTTTGTTTTGGTTTTTGAGACAGAGTCTCACTCTGTCATCCAGGCTGGAGGGCAGTGGTGAGATCTGGGCTCACTGCAACCTCTGCCTCCTGGATTCAAGTGATTCTCATGCCTCAGCCTCCGGAGTAGCTGGGATTACAGGTGTGCATCACCACACTTGGCTAATTTTTGTATTGTTTAGTAGAGATGGGATTTTGCCAGGTTGGCCAAGCTGGTCTCAAACTCCTGGCCTCCCAAAGTGCTAGTATTACAGGTGTGAACCACCATGCCCAGCCATCTCCTGAAGTTTTATTGGTATTTTTAGTATCTTCCATTTATCTTCTTATCATGTTCATGTTTTTTTACATTCTTGAATTATTAATGTAAATTTATAATAGCTGTTTTAATGTTCTGTCTGCTAATATCATCTGCTCTGTCATTTTTAGTAGTGTCTATTTCTATTGATTGATTTTTCTGCTGGCTCTGGTTTGTATTTTTGTGCTTCTCTGCATGTTTGCTAAGCCTGTCAATTTTTACTAGATGCCCAACGCTGTGTATTTTGTGCTGTTAGGTTCTGGGTTTTGTTATAATTCTTTAACATGAACTCCTTTATTTCCTGACATGTAGTTGAGTAACTTAGCATAAGCTTGACGCTCTCTAGGATTGCTTTTAAACTTTGTTTTGGGAGAACCTAAAGCAACTTTTATTCTAGGGCTAATTTAACCCTATTACTAAGTCAATACTTTTTGGATGACTATATCAACTATTAACCAATTTTCATGAGCTCCCAGAATTGTTTAGCCTCCTAGTTTCTGATGTTTCTTCTTCCTCTTCCCCTCATTTCGTCGAGTTTTTCCCATGCATGAAGAGATAACTAGTCAGTCAAAGAGTTAGGGCTGGCCCCTTTGCAGATCTCCAGACCTCTCTCTGCAGCTTCCCTTTTTTTTTTTTTTTCCAGTATTTTGCCTGCAAGTTGGCTTTCTGGAATTCTGATTTCTGTCCTCAACTCAGTGAGACTGCTGGGTCTTGTTTGGGTTCTCTTTCCTGCACTATGTACTGAAACTGCCTCCAGGCAGCAAACTGGGCAATTGTAGGGCTCACCTCATTTGTTTCTCTTCTCTCAGGGATAACAGGCTTGCTCTGCTATTTCCCAGTATCTGAAAACAGTTGTTTCATGTATTTGTCTGGTTTTCTAGCTGTTTATGGTGAGAGGGCAGTTCCCATAACAGTTCATCCTTCATGGTCAGAAGCAGATGTTGGCATCAATATTTCATAAATTTCTATGGGTTACTGCATTGTGCAGCCAGGGTGGAGAGCAAGTGCTTTAGACACTCGTCAATATCAGTTTTGCTTGCCTTTTAAATCCTTGTCAATTCTTTACATGAAAAATGATGCATATATTTTTTGAACTTCAATGATTTGTGAGGTTGAATGACTTTTTATATTTACTGACCAGTTGCATTTTTCTTTAGACTTTAGACTGGTTGAGATTTTTTATCCCTCTTTTTCTCTTTGAGAAATTTGATTTTTCCTGATAGGTTTGCAGTAGCTCTTTAGACAGTAGTTCCCCCTTATCCGAGAAGGTGCATTCCAGGACCCCAAGTAGATGCCTTAAACCACAGATGTATTGGACCTTATATATTCTGTTTTTTTCTTACACCACATACCCTTGGTAAAGTTTAGTTTATAAACTAGGCATGGTAAGAGATTAACAATAATAACGAATAATAAAATAACAAGTATAGTAATATGCTGTAATAAAAATTATACAAATATGGTCTCTCTTCATCTCTCTCAAAATATCTTATTATACTATGCCCACCTATTTCCAGACCACATTTTACTATGGGTAAGTGAAGCCAGATAAAGGGGGACTACAGTAGGTTACTGATATTATTCTTTCCCTGCCATTTATGTTACAAATGATTTTTCCAAGTTATTATGCATGTGTCAGCCTTGTCTGTGGTGGTTGCAATGTGGAACGTGTTGAGGGGAAGGCCACAGTTTGTGCCATGAAGACTCTTCTGATTTTATACATAGTCAAATATACCAGTTGTTTCCTTTATGGTTTCTGGCTTACATCTCATCTCATGAAAGATGCTTTTCTGTGGCATAGTAGATGGATTTATTTTGTTTTCAATAGTTTTCCTAAAGGACATTCCTCCCAGGGCACATTTCAAAGAAAGGGCTTCTTTTTAGTGGTACTTTGCCTTTTTTGGTTAACAAACCCTTAGAAATCTGAAAGACCATAATAGATCTTATGACCTCAAAAAACTGCATATGTGTCCATACGCCAAAAGTCTGCATAGATTCTGGGTTTTAGACCCCTGTTTAGTGACCCTTATTGTGTTAGTCAGGTTTCTCTACAGAAACGGAACCAATAGGAGACAGACACACAGAGAGAGGTAGATATAGATACAGTAATAGAGATAGATGACAGATAGATAGATAGATAGATAGATAGAGATAGATAGACATAGATATAAAAGAAGGTTTATTATGAGGGTTTGGTTTATGTAATTATGAGGCTGAGAAGTCCCACAGTCTGCTATCTGCAACCTGGAGACTGAGGAAAGCTGGTGGTATAATTCCAGTCTAAGAGGAGGAAGAGACTGATGTCCCAGCTCAAGCAGGAAGGCCAGAAGCAAAAAGTGATGAATTCCTTCTTCCTCTTCCTTTTTGTTTTATTTAGGCCCTCAACAGATTGGATGATGTCCACCCATATTGGGGAGGGCAATCTACTTCACAGAATCCACCAATCCAAATGCTAATCATCTGGAAACATCCTCACAGAGAAACCCAGAAATAATGTTTAATCTGGGTGTCCCATAGCATGCTCAAGTTGACACATAAACTTAGCCATTACATCTATCATAGATTGCCTATGAGAGAAGAATCTATTACTGGTGTCTGTGAGTGTGAGAGCCAGGAAGGCTGTGGCTGGCCTCCCTGTAGTCACCTTGGATGTGCTATTGATGTGGATGAGGCTTTTCCCTGGGGCCTTTCTTCTCATAGGAGTCCTCCCTCCCCACCCCGAGATACTGATACTTCACATTTTAGTGAAGTGCACAGTAGAATAGAAGAAGCTCTGAGTTAGAAATTAACAAAGGACTGAGGTTACATTGAGGCAAGTGGGAGTCTGACCCCTGCAGGACAGCCACAGTTTGATCCTGCAGATGAGCCCAGTTCCAGACAGCATTTTCCTTAATCCTTTAGACTCCCATGCCTCTAGCAATCCACAAGAGATTCCTAACTGACTGTATTTTCTTAGCTTGTTTCCCTCTTTAGGTGATGCAGGAAGCCAAGGGGCTGGAGTGAGAGGAACGGCCTCACCCTCGTTGAGATTAGGCTCTTTAGAGTCTTTTTCTGGATAGCAGGTCTTCGTCATGGAGGCCACTCTGGGCTACTTCAAAATGGTGACTTTCCTCCTCTTCCCTTCCACATTTTCCCCCAGAGGTAGACAGGGATCTTTTCTGGCTTTGGATCTTTCTTTACTTTGAAAACTTGGGGGAGTTCCTAGAGGTAAACCCCTCAGATGTCCCACCATGTAACCCTGCCCAAGAAGCCAAAAGAAATCTCTTCCTACCTAACAGATTGAATGGCTCCTTGACCCCCATGGGGACTGGTCTCTGGAGTCTAAAGAGAAAGACAGCAGTGGAGAGAAATGAGGTTTTACAAGCAGTTGGAGCCCAGGCCATGAAAGTTTGTTTAAACATTCTTCTATGCCCATTCTAGGGGCAGTGAGGAACCACCTAAGAAGAGTCTGTAAGTGAGATTTTCAGATTTGCATTTCCAGAGATCACCCTAGTACTTTGTGAAGGTGGGGTTAAGCAGACTGAGTTAGGAGTCAATTTCCATCATCTGGGACAGAGACAGGGAGACAGTGGCCTGAAGTGATATTCCTGGAGACAAAGAGAAGTTTAAGGGTCCAAGAATATAAAGAAGCAGCACATTTGGTGACTGATGATGGCTGGTGGCAGAAAAAGGAACTGAGTCTGGACAGGCTCAGGATGTCACAGCTTCCAGCCTCCCAGAAGTGCTCCATGGAGCTTCAGCCCCAGCACATCTGGTCTCCCACTTGCTCCAAGGAGGCAATGAAGGGGGCATAGAAGTGCCTTCTGAACTCCCTTTATCCACCATCAGGCACAAGAGTCAACGTGTTCACAGGTAATTGTTGAGCATAGTCTACTTAGATTCTAATCACACCATGAAACACTTACTTGAAATTCATAACATGGGAACAGTCCTGTTAAACTACGAAAGATTGGCAAAATATAAAAAGAACCTCGTCTACATGACTAACCTGAATGTGCCAATTAAGCTAACTAGCAGCAGCTTATGCAATTGTTTTGCATCTGAGAAATCTCCACGCAGAAATGGACTCGGCTGAGTACAAAGTGCTACTCCATTACAGGCTCAGATAACGTTAGACCAGCTGGGTATGCCAGCCAGCTAGGTTCACATCACAGTCCTGGGAACAGCAAGAACCCACAAACCACTGTCTGAACCAGCTCCCTGCTTTCTGGAAGAGGCCATTCCCACTTAACTGATGAAACCATTGCATCACTGAGACATCAAACAAAAAACCCACGCCCTTAGAATCAAGCACTTCAATTATGACACATAGCCCAGGAAATTTTCTTTTAAAAGATAAATTATAAAAGTATCAGTGTCACTTTAAGGTAAGCTTTTATTCTTTTTATTTGACCTCTCTGAAATGATATGAAAAAATGAATGATAAAAAATGCCTATGCCAATTGGATAAAGATTTGGAAGGTAAAACATATATGAGTATTTACAGTCTGAAGAGCATTTTTATTTCTCCCAACACTTTCAACCCAAAAGTCAGCTCAGTATGCTGTGCTCATCAGTTCTCAGCAGCAGAGACTGAAATACCATCCTTTATTCACAGGACAGAATGTGCATCTATTCTTGACGCCAGTGGACAGAACATCCTCAGTTTCCTTTGCAAAACTATTTGTAAGGCGCATCCATGATGAGCCCATCCCATCCTGGTCCATCCATTCTTAGAGCTTCTTAGGAATTTGGAATTTCCATGAGACACAGTGTTGATTTCCTCAAAAATTCTTGTTCTCAAGAGTGAACATTTGGACACTCTCACCTATCTGGGCTTTTTCATTCTGCAAAGGACTTTCCTTTTTGTAGATTCTTTCTTCAACACCCCTCTAATAGCTGGCTACATGTAGAATCAACTCAGACTTTGAGTCAGACAGACCTAGGTTTGAGCCCAAGCCCTAGCACCATCTGATAGTGGATATTTTGGTGAATCACTTTTCCTGTCTGAGTCTCACTTTTTTAATCTGTCTAATGGAGATGCAGTTTAAGGCCATTGTGAGAAACATATGAAAAAACAAAGAAAAAAATGTGAAACTGTTTTATAAACCTTAAAGTCCCATATAAATGTGAAAAAAGAAAAGTGGCTCTATGAACAAGATATTTCAAAATGAGCTAAGTTAGTAAAATTTATCCACCTAAAAACAAATGTTTTGAAACAAAAAGAGGAAAATAATCCTGTGATTTTTTAAGAGTAAATAATATAATTCCTATTTTGTAAGAAAAGTATAATTATGTTCATTTATGTAATGCAGAAATGCCCTCACATTGCATTGTACATAATAAACTAAATGACACAAGAAAAAAAAAAGAGAGAGATAATTGTTCACCAAGATGAACATGCAGACATGTCACACATACACAGTACACCCAATGAAGTCAGCCTATGCTCATGTGCTTGTAGGACTACTTAGCAAACCTGTTACCCCACTTGTAACAGAATTGTGGGTGTGGGCAAGGCTTTTTCAGTATGATGCCTGAAATTGAGAGGAGTACTGCAAGGGTAACTGTTGGAGCCAAAGCAACCTATCTAATTGGCTTATGTGGCCTAATCTGTGCTCAGATAAATGTAAGCCTGATGCTACTTGTCACCTACACACAAATGTAGCTACTGTCATCCATGCAAGTCACAATTTTCTTCTCCAGGACATCAAAAGATAGAGGTAGCCCATTTCTCACTTTAGAGACAGAAAGAAACTCTGAAAGCAGGAATGTAAACAAAGCTCCTAGAAAATGCAAGCTCATGACTAAGTAAAGCCCCAAAAGTCCACCCAAATCAAAGTAACAAGAGGCAAAGGCCACAGCTCAGATCACAAAAGATGGAACAAGCCAGGTGTGCAGAGAGCAAACGAACCGGCAGCCGCTCAGTGACAAATGCTCTGTGGGGCTTGGGCCATCTTGTTCTTTCTGAATGGCCAAGGAAGAATGTTTGACAACAGCTTCCTCTGCACTGTATAGGGGCAAATCTATGTTTTTAAATTGAGAGAAAACTTCAGAATATATTAATTTATGCAGAAGAGCTGTTTTGTTGAATATATTTATCAGTCGTACTTCTGAAAACTGAATTACATTTTCGACATAAAAAACTTGCAATATAGGGAGCTTTATATTTATAATGCTGATGCTTGCCAATGAAGATGTGGCTTAGGTAAATGTATGTATATGAAATGCAGCATTTGAATAGCACTCCTAAAATGCAGGCAGCATTCTTGGTGCAAAAGACTATGAGAGCAAAGACATTTACCTAAAACATGTGCTTGTTAGGTATTTTTCCTAATCATCTATGCCACACGGACTTTGTAAATAAAATGATAAACCAGTCCCTTAGATCTGCATCTTCCTCTACAAAACCTTTTTCAGCACTCTTTGCACCTGGCCCTTGTAACAGTTCTGGGATATAATGGCAATAATCCCATTTTACAGATGAGGAAGTTGAGCCTCCGAAGCTCTAGCTGATTGGGGAAGTGTCACCGGGCCAGTTTGCTGAGCTCGTCTAGAGCTAGTCTAGTGTTTTCTTCCTTAGAACTTTTCTTTTCCTTTGAGAACCGCATCATTATGGAACTAGAAAAGCATTGGCTTAGGAAGCAGGAGAATTGATTTCTCCTTTCTGCTCTGTGACTAATGCATTGTGTGTCAGTCCTGTTAGCCCTTTCTCCCTCTATGACTCTGCACTCAACTGGGGGCTCACTGCCCTGCAGTGGGTTGCGACATGGATCCCTTACTAGTTTCTCTGCTTTCAGGCCTCCTTCAGAGTCATTGTGTGTGCACAGTTGCCAGAGTGGCCTTTCCATGACACAGACCTCTGTGTAACACATTCTAACCTAAAACACTTCAATGGCTTCCCATTCCCCAAAAGATAGAGGCCACATTTATTGCCTGGCTCATATGGTCCTCCATGAGCTAGTCTTTGTCTGTCTCTCCAGCCCCATTTCTTGGTCTTCCTTCCTCCATACACCATGCCACACACCTATCAATATGGATCATACCCAGATGTCTCTTGTCTCTGTCTATATTACCCTTTCTCAACTTGCTTTCACCCATCTGATTTCTACCATAAGACCTTTGTCATGAATTTCTTTGCCTAAGACATCATCTCTGGCCATTGTGTGCTCTGCCCTTCCTCAGCAGAATGTGCCTTCAGTGTTTCCCCTCTGGGGTCCCGTAATCACTTATAAATATCATCACTGCATTTTGACTTACAAAGAAATAATCTTTTTAAAATAGTTGCTCCTATATTGTCTATGAGGTTTCATTTTTGTTTTGATTTTAAGTTCATGTCTGAGTCATCTTTCAATCTCTGACATGTAGTATTGTATCCAGCACATGGTAGATGTTAAAGAAACATTTACTGAATACACCAATGAATGAATGAAAACGATTACAGTATCTCTCTGGGGCTTCCTACTTATGATATTTCCAAAGTCTGATTCACGTGCATGCTCAGAACATCTTGCCAGAACAGATTTTTTTCCCCTTAAGGAGATTTTGTTGCTTTTCTCAGAGTGCTTCTTTCTAACAAGCTGCCGGAAGAGTTGTGAGATGAATGCCTTGCACTAGAACCCACAGGAACCAGGAGCTGGGCAAGAGCTGCTGTGGCTCTCCCGCTAATCTTGGTGGACAGCTCTGCCTGCATTGACAATGAGGCCACCCATGCTGTCGATTGATGTGGCCAGGGCAAGCCTGAGCATGGGTGGTCAGTCTCTCTGGCTGGCCGAGGTGTGGGTGTGTGGGAATCCGCTCCATACCCACACAACCCAGGATGCCAGTTCTTTCCTGGGGCAGTATAGGGAGAAGGCAAGCCCACTCCTCCTGGGAGACAGGGCAATGCAGGGCCTTGCCAGGCTTTCCAGGTCCTCAGAGGTGTGGCCAGAAGTCGACTCATAAGCTGAAGTGAAACAGAAGAACTTGGTCTTGGAGAACAGACAGCAGCATGAGAGGTGTCATTCACCACAACACCCTCACTTATAGATGAAGAAACTGATCTTAACAGGACGGGTTTTTCATGATGGCTTTGCAAGTGAACCTCAGGGCACTTACCTTTGCATTGCAAAGAGAAGGGAGAAAGAAAACTAGTCCTGCCAATGCTCAAGACCATGGTCCAGCACACCTGATCCTGAGAAGTTCACAGTGTCACATGCTTCCAGCCCTCCCCGCCCTCACTTTACCTTGAAACATTCCCCGCAAACTACTCTGGACCATGCTACCAGGTTGACTGAACACATAGCTTGCATACATATGGATTTCACATTACACACTTCACATATATGAAGAGGCCAGACAGCAGAGAAGGGAAATGAACAGATGATGAAGATAAACAGTCGGTCTGGCACTTACCAGCTTTGCCATGACTGGCTTTGTGGCCATGTGCAACTTATTTAACCCATTGTGCCTCAATTTCCTAAACTTTTTAACTGGACACTAATAACCCACCTCATAGATTTGCTATGTTAGCTATGGCTACTCTAGTTGAAAGCTTACCATGTTCCAGGACTTTTAAATACATAACCAGCAAATCTCAAACAATGACCTGCAGAGCACGTGGTGTTATGATGCCTCTTCTACACAGAAAGGTACCAATTCAGCCTGTAGGGTCTCAAGTGCAGATTCCATCCCAGGTCTGGCTGATCTCAAATCCAAAGCTCTTTCAGTTCTACTTCATATCTTCTGTCTAGGAATAATTACTATTGCTCCGTTCACTTTCAAAAGTGTTCTGGTTTGGAGGATAAGTTACACAGTTGTCCTACTTTCTCCACATCTCCCCTCTGAGAAGCAGAGGCCTTTATATAAAAGATATGTTTACCTTGAAAACTTGGGCTGGAGAGCCATGTGTGGTCTGGCAAGCTACCCTGGTTTGGTAAATAGATTGGGCATCTTGACTTACTGACCTGCCTCTAAGAGCATTGGTGCCAGTCAAGAAGAAAATGCAGGCAGGAATACAGTATTATTTTTCTTTATTTTTGCAAATTTGACCAAAATTCATCGGCTATCCTCTGGCCTTTTCACAGGATGTTGTGAAACTTAGAGGCCTGTTTTGCAGTAGTTACAGTCATTGGCCCTTAAACTTGGATATTCTTTCTGCAATATTTCTTAGGTCAAGCCATATAGCCTCTGTAGAAATGGAGGGTGAAAAGTTTGGAAAACTTTTACTTAATTTTATTTCTGGGTTCAGAGTTCCAATTATTTAATAACAGTCCTCCTTTTTCATAGAAACTATTGATATTAAATAGAGAAGCAAACACAAGATAATCACAACACAAATCAGAGAGCAAACAAGAACAACAAAACAACAGAGGTGGAAACAAAATCTATGGTTTTTTGAAATCAGCAATGGAAAGTCATTCTTGGAAGGAAAGAATGTTCTTCAGAAAAGTCTCAGGGGAAGAAAGCTGAGAGTGCATGAATGGTGATGACATTGATGTCACATTTGTCTTCCAGATTTGCAAGTGCTGAATCCAGAGGAAGGCAAAGTCTTCCTCTCAAGCCTTGCCCTTCACCAGCACACACATCCAGCAGATTCCCAACCATCTCCAGCTTCTGACCTGCAAGCTGCATGACCTTGGACGAGTCACTCCCTATCTCTCCACCTCAGTGTTTCTGGGAGGTGATTTCAAAGGGCCCTTTCTGCTTGAAATCACCTTGACTCTTATCCATTTACCACCATCTTTTATTTGGCCAAGACACCATTGGATGTAATCATGATGGGCAATCTGTCTAGAGAAACAAGAGACTGAATAGGTCATTTCTGGTTACAATAGCCAAGCTTGGAATCCTTGATCTACATTTTCATATATCTTTCATTTTCATATTCTTTCAGCTCTTTGAGGGGTTGGATTGTGTTACTTTCACTGCAGTATCACCAGTGCCTAGCCCAACAACATATTCTTTAATTATTTGTTGAACAAACGAATAGATGAACAAATTTTTCTTGCCATACGGAAATATAAAATCTTGCTCTAAGTTGTAATATCTCATAATTACACATGTGAAACAATAACTATCATTTGAAATCCTCTTGTAAAATCAGGTGGGGAAATGAAAGATAGAAATATTCACGTTATATTCATTAATTATGGTGCTTTATCTCAATAAGTATTATTTTCAGAAAACAAAATCTGAATTGCTTATGTAGTATACAGTAGGCCCTTTGTCTCCATAGGGGATTGGTTTCAGGACCTTCTCAGATACCACAATCCATGGATGCTTAAGATCGATTGTTTTCCAGGTTAGTGGAATCTGTGGATGTGGTACTTGTGTATACATAGGGCCTACTGTTTGCGCTATGGCTCAGCCAACCTAACCAGTTGGCTTATTTGGCCTAATCCAGGCTCAGTTAAAATGCAGGGTCAGTGCTTAGAAGGAAATACATACAATAACCTCTCACCAACTCTGGGCACTTCTGCAAAAAACACTGGCTGAAAATCCTTAGTTGGCAAGAAGAATAAAGGTCTCACTGAAAGGGTGTTAGGGAAAAATTGAAAGTGCACTAAAGATAGATTTTTAAATGCAGTAAATAAAACTTCTAGGAAAAATCACTGTCAAAACAAGCCAGTTTTTTCAAGTTAGAAGTTGAATCTTGGAGGCAATTCTCTTTCTGTTGCTCAGGAAGAAATGCTGCAGGTTCATGATCTGCTGCTATGAATTTTCAGTTTTGTGGATCTGAAAAGCCAATCTGAAGACTAAATCCTGTATGATTCCAGACTCTACTTCATTTGACACTGTTTTTACTGTTTTGTAAACAGTACCTGCATTACTAAGTTGAATTGCACTCTTTCCCTTTTTTAATTTTTGCATGTCTTGGCAAAATGCATCTGTAATCACCTGGCCTTTTCACAAATTATTGTGGAATTTACAAACCTGTTCTGTGGTGTTATCGAGTCATCTTCCCTGAAACTGCGATCTTCCTTCTTCACAATGTTTCACAGGTCAGGCTACACAACCTGGGCAAAGAGAGAGAATGGTAAGACATAATTTCTACCATGTTTTCTTGCTTGAAAGGACTAAATAAATTCTTAAGAATTAAAAGTCATCAAAAAGGCTGGTGAGGATGTGGAGCAATAGAAACTCTCATTCATTGTTGGTGGAGATGCAAAATGGTATAGCCACTCTGGACAACAGTTTGGCTGTTTCTTATAAAACTAAACATATTCTTACCATAAGATCCAGCAATCATTGTCCTTGGTATTTACCCAAAGGAGTTGAAAACGTATATCAACACAAAAACCTGTACAAGGATGTTTATAACAGTTCTGCTTATCGTTGCCAAAACTTGGAAGCAACCAAGATGTCCTTCAGTAGGTGAATGAATAAGTAAACTGTACTACATCCAGACAACGGATTATTATTCAACACTAAAAAGAAATGAGTTTGCAAGCCATGAAAAGACATGGAGGAAACTTAAAGGCATATTACTAAGTGAAAGAAGCACATCTGAAAAGGGTATATATTGTATGACATTCTGGAAATGTGAAAACTATGGATATGACAAAAGGATCAGTGGTTGCAAGGGGTTGGGAGTGGGAAAGTTGGGGTGAATAGGCAAAGCAAGGGGGAATTTTAGGGCAGTGCAAATACTCTGTACAATGCCATCATGATAGATGTGTGTCATTTTACATATGTCCAAACCTGTAGAATGTGCAACACCAAGAGTGAACCCTGCAGTCAACTAGGGACTTGGGTGATTTGGATGTGTCAATGTAGGCTCATTGATTGTAATAAATGTACCACTCTGGTGGGGGATGTTGATAATGGGGGAGGCTGTGCATGTGTAGGGATGGGAGAGTGTGGAGGAAATCTCTGTACCTTCCTCTTAGTTCTACTGGGAAGCTAAACCTGCTTTTAAAAACATAAAGTCTTGAATAATTAAAAAAAGAGTCATGAGTTTGAACATTTTAACATACAACTATAAATCAATGCCAGCTCTAATCCATACAGAGATTATTAAAGCTTCTGACTGCAGATAACACCTGAATTAAGTAGACTGTTCCCTCCTCCCATCTCTTTTTTTCCACCTCCCCTGACAACTCCCCACCGTTACCAGGGGAGGCTGAGCAAACACCAAGGTCCTGTGGGGTTCAGGCAAGTAGTGAGAGCATCTCCTACCACAGTTGTAGAAGGGAGGTGTTTGGGGATGTGCAAGTTGAGATCTGTGAATAATTAAACTGGAGAAAAGGTCCAAATGGGTTGTCAAAACAAGGAGGGCCTGAGGCTTATGTGAGGAATCAGATAACAGTCAAGGTGTGGGAGAGACAGTGAGACTGAGAAAAAGAAACAGTAGGAGGAAAGATGTGTAGGAGGTTCTCTGGGTGAGTATCAGAGACAAGGTACAGTTGAGCATGGCTGGGCCTCTCTGTGTTCCCTATGATGAGTTGTTTGGTGGGCTGGAACCATTCCAAGGGCTTGGGATGAAACCGGCCCATCATTTTCCCTTGGCTTATCTGGGCCTCTTATTCTTTTCTCTCTTACTTCTCCTGAACCTTCCCTTCCTATACCATGTCCTCTCCCCACTGGACTTTCCATCTAATGTAGGTGTTCCAGCATAATATACCTTATGGCATTACTGTGCAAAGACCCAGTGTATTGTTTCATGTGCATAGGGTGTGGGTGGAAATGCGTTTAGGGGAAGAAGGGAAATTTATCTGTAGCTAAGGCTGATTTCTAAAGAAGCTCTTGTTCCTGGATCCCTAAGGCCCATGTTTAACATCCCCAAGTCCTGGAGTTTTCTAGACATCCCTGTTGGTGATGTTCTTCCCTAAATGTAGTGTGACGCAGAAGAAGGAACACTGCGCTCCGAGCGTGGTCTCCTGGTTTCAAGGGCAAGCTCTGCCCGTGACAGTGTACTTGAAATCTTGGCTGGGCACAGGTGCTGACATACTCCCAGGAACTGTAGGAGAAACAGAAGATGAAGTTTCCCTTTTCTTAAGTGGTACAGCTTATAGTAAAGGAGATGGCACTAACATGCTGTGCAGTGGGAAACAACACAGAAATGACGTAAAACCAGCAAGGTGACGTGAGCGTCACCTGGCCTATAGGTGTTGGGGAAGTCCAGAGGATCAGAGCAGGAGGATGCTAGAAGAGACATCTTCAGAGCCAGGACCTGGACTCTAGGGAAAATTTTCACATGAAAATGATAATGATGAAAAAACCATAATTGTAATGATAATAACATAACTAATACTTTGAGTGCCTATTGGATGGTAGGATATTGTACTAGGTGCTTTATTTTGATTGTTTTTTATATACTCATGTGAATCCACAAGGTAGAAGTTGCTAGCTACATTCTATGGAATCTCAGATTAGGATTCTGACCAATGTCACACAGCCAGTAATAGAACAGGGGACATGTCCCAAATCTGCCTGTTCCTGACACTGCCAGGTACTCTTTCCTTTATTCGACTATGTCTCACATCGGCAATGGAATCTGTGAGAGCTGATTTTGTGTGTTAACCTGACTGGGCTAGGAATGGCCAAGAAGCTGGGTGTGTCTTTGAGGGTTTCCAGAAAAGATTAGCATTGGAATCACTAGACTGAGAAAAGAAACTTTCCCTCACCCAATTAATTGAGGGCATGAATAGAAGAAAAAAAGCAGAGGAGGGGCAAATTTGGTCTGTGCTTGAGCTGAGACACCCATCTTCTCCTGCCTTCAGGCATCAATGCCCCTGGTTCTAGTGCTTATGGACTCAGACTGGGACTTACAGCATCAGCCCCTGATTCTCAGGTCTGCAGACTCAAACTGAATTACACCACCAGCTTTCCTGTTTCTCCGGCTTGGAGACAGCAGATTGTGGGACTTCTTGTTCTCCATAACTGTATGAGCCAATTCTTATAATAAATCTCCATATACGTATATAGATATATGTGTGTGCAGATATGTGTGTGTGTGTGTGTGTGTGTGTGTGTGAATAGATAGATAAATAGATACCCTGTTAGTTGTGTTTCTCTGGAGAATCCTTACTAACACAGAATCTTACTCCAGACTCTTTCATTGCATAAAGTAAAGGCAGATCAATCCTTCAATGGGGCCAGTAGTATGAATTTCAAGTTATTCAGCCATTGCTTCCTCAGTTCATTTATAAAAAGACAAGGCCACAAAGCATTCTGCAGTAGAATTCATAGCCAAAAAATTAATTAGAGACAAAGACTCTGGAATTTCTTTGAGTGTCTTATTTCTATCTCCTTTACTAGGCTCAAAATAACCTATTAAACCATGTGATAAAAATAAATCGACAGGCCAAGCACGGTGGCTCACACCTGTAATACCAGCACTTTAGGAGGCTGATGTGGGTGGATCACCTGAGGTCAGGAGTTTGAGACCACCCTGGCCAACATGGTGAAACCCCATCTCTAAAAAAATACAAAATTAGCTGGGCATGGTGGTGCATGCCTGTAATCCCAGCTACTTGGGAGGCTGAGGCAAGAGAATCGCTTGAACTCAGAAGGCGGAGGTTGCAGTGAACCGAGATCGCACCACTGCACTCCAGCCTGGGTGACAAAGCGAGACTCCATCTCAAAAAAACAAAATAAAATAAAAAAATAAATTGACAGAAATGGTTATTATTTCAATTTCACTGTGAAATATTTTATTATTCTTATTGACTCATTTGTTGAAGAATCTAAGATTACCAAGTGACACACTCATTAATTCAATTTATTTTTTGTAAATGAAAGCACTGCTCTGGCTGGACCACAAACCGCATGTGCTCAGTGGTTGGCTGCCTTCATTTCAGCTGCATAAGATTGGTTGGATCCAGAGAGATTGTCCTCACTGATGCTCTGAGCCAGCCTTGAGGAACCACCACATCTGACCTCATTCTGTTTGCTGTGACAAGAGAGGGCAGAGTTTTGTGATATTGCTTTTGAAGACAATGTCATCAAGATACAAAAGCCATGGGAATAGTGTGTATGGTGTGTGTATACAAGGGAAATGGGGAAATGGTGTGGGATGTGAACACAAGTGTGTGTTTGTAAGGGGTGGAAGGAGGGAGAGAGAAAATGAAAACCATCACGTAGGGAGTGCCAGCTCTCTGCTAGGCACTCAGCTTTGTGTCTTACCTAAATCACACACCATCCTCCCAATGTTGAAAGTATGTGATAACATCACCATATGATGGAGGGGGAAACTGACACTAAAAGCAGTGAAGAGACTTACACAAGGCTGCAGGTAATTCAGCCAACTCCCATGCTTGTCCATGCTCCTCTGCAGCTCACTGGGACATTTACTGTGAGCCTAATCCTGTATGAATGGTCAGGAGGGGGATAAGTCTGAGAGATGGGGGCATGAAAGAGTGTGAATTCATTTTCCTTCATGGAACATCCTCACAGAGGAAAAGGGCTCAAACCTCCTGTTTACCTGTTAAGAGTTAAAGCCAAGGCTTAGCTGAAGTACTTAATGCTGCAAGAACATGTCTTCACACTCTAAAGAGTCTAAAAACGTGAGTGTACAAAATGTGAGGTGATGACCTTAATAATTTTTAATCAGCATGCAATTATTTACAAGTTCAACTATTTACAAGTTCAGTTCAAAGCAATGTAGGACAATGCAGTGTGGAGATGACCCCATTCCCGCTGGAGAATGGATAGCCTGACTTTAAAGACAAAATCAAAAGAAAGTCCAGAGCAAGTCTAGATCTAAGGTTCCTCACACCATGATAATATATATCCACAGGGTAAACAAGAGGCATCAGGAAAAGATTAGTTTATGTGAAGTAAAAGTCTCTTCTAAGAAGATGAGAAAGTGTTAATATATAGTAAAAACATTTTAATCCCAAATAAAAATATATGGTTATATAGATGTAATAGACATGAATGTAATATACCTGAAATTTTAAGCTTCAGGTGAGAGGCACAAGATTGAGGAGAAAAGCCATGCATAGCCTTGAATTAAGAAGAAACAGTTGGTGTTCAGGCTTTCTCACTTGCTGGCCATAAATTCTTGGGCTTTTCCTATCTGTGCCATGCTTTCTCCCTCTATAATTAGGGAAAAACTGCTCCAATCCTGCTTCTCTCCTGTAGGATTGTAGTGAAGCTCAAATTAGAGACTGGTCACCTGTGTGTTTTATAAATTCTAAGAATCACGATCATGGTCACCATCAGGAAAATCTGTCAATGAAGGCTGTAGAAAATAATTTTACGCTTGAAATAGAAGCACGATGTCACGGGTAACTTTACTAGGGATTCCTTCCTCTGCCTGTTTTCAGGGTCCTCTCAATCCCAGGCAAGGAGTACTTTGCATTTTCGCTTTCACAAGCAATGTGTCTATAAGCATTTTGTGCACATGTTCTGTTACACACACGGACTTGCATTTCTTTAATGTACATGCCAGCGATTAAATTGCTGATGGATAGTGTTTACACATCTCTGGGCTTGATAAAGTGAAAGAGCTACTATCCCAGAGGTGTGGGTTCTTTCAGATGACTAGTGAGATGGCTACCCTACTCTAATGAGGGTCCCATTGTGGCCACATGCCAATCAATTTCCCTGTAAGTCTTCCCTAGATGAGTTCTATTATTCCATTTTGCATTGCTATAAAGGAATACCTGAGACTGGGCAATCTGTAAGGAAAAGAGATTTATTTGACTTGTGGTTCTGCAGCCTGTACAGGGAGCATGGCACTGGCATCTTGCTTGGCTCTTAGTGAGGACTTCGGGAAGCTTTTACTCACAGCAGAAGGCAACGGGAGCTGGTGTGTCACATGGAGACAGAGAGGGAGCAAGAGAGGGGGAGAAGTTACCACTCTTGAAGCAACCAGCTTTCACCTGAACTAATAGAGTGAGAATGCGTTACCTCAGCACAAGTCATTCATGAGGGAGCCGCCCCCATGACTCAAATGTTTCCCATTAAGCCCTGCCTGCAACATTGCAGATACATTTCAACAAGGGATTTGAAGAGGACAAATATAAAAACTGTTAGGAGTTTAAAGTTCCCAGGAACAAGAGAAATTTGGACCAGAAAGGAAGGCCTTAGATAAAAGATCAGGTAGAAAATTGGGCCAGGTAGGGAGGCCTTAGACAAAAAAGCAACATCTAGCTCTTTTTAGCCCTGCTTCTCCTAGATCTGGACTCCACAAGTTATGTGCATCTGGGCAAGGTGAGACAATAGCTTCACATGGGGCTGGGAAGGTCCTGATACTGGGTCCTTGTCACTGCTTGCATCACAGCTACCTCTTCACCATGAGTATGGGTGTCTCCCTGTCAGACTGAGAATGTCCAATAGGGGAAGTTCAGGGGATCATGCTTGTTTGGACCCACATTTTATCTTCATATATCTCATTTTTCTGCTTCTTTCTCTGCATACTTTAGCTGGGATAGTGTTTGCTTATTCCAATTCTGCTGACTACGTATTTCCAGGCTTTATAATCCACAGTGGGAGAAAGCCTCCCTTAGTAAAGGCCTCCCTTCTCACTCTGCTTACACACTAATTGGTTGAAGACTTTTCTCTTTCCTCTAAGGCCTGACAGAATGCTGCAAGACAGCCAATACTTCTCTGAATTTTTAAACCACCTCCTCTAAGTCTACTGCTTTACAGGTACATGATCATCATTCCAAAGTAAGTATAAGGTTGATACCACTAAAGGTTTTCAGATGCAAAACCGGGCACCTCTAACATCCCAGCCTGACCTAGAGGAGTCTTAGCATTCTTTTTCACCCACTCTAACCATTGAGCCAACTCTCCATTAGAGGGCCTTTTCTTTTAAAAATTCCCACTTCTTGAGGCCTAATTTTATATCAGTTAGGATTCTTTAGGAGGATGACTGTCCTCTCATCCTCCTCCCAGCAGACACACACCACCTTTTAATTTTAATTAGTTTGTAATATCTCCTTTACTACTCTGTGATTGAGCTCATAGATAATTTAACCCATCCATCATATAATTAAAAATATATCATGCCCTAAAAGTAGTATAGTGGAGAAATGAAAGGACAGTAATATATAATAGAAAGACGTGCATGTATTAATATATAAATGTTGTCTCATAATTGCACTAGAACACATGATTGAGTCATCAAGAGTTTCGACTGTGAGATAGAATCACCATGTGGTAATAAAAGCAGACTAATAGAAACATATTTTCTTGGCAACTCAAGCTTCATAAGTGGCATTATCATTGGTAACCTGATCATCTGAAAAGGTGAACAAATCTTGAAAGTGTTTCAAACAAAAGCACAATCTTCCCCTGATTTAAACAGTGGAAAATTCAGTGTGTATCAAAAGGGATACAAAGTAAAAACACTTAATGTATGTGCAAAATGGAGTTAGGCTCTAGGCTCAGATAATAAAGGAGTTTTTCACCTACCTGGAAGTCTAATGGGTCATTAAAAAATTGTGCAATATGAGGGAAGATTCTTTGTAATGCAGACTTATCCCACAAATTCCATCTCGCTTCTTGGTCTCCATATATTAAATGTCAGTAACATCCCCCACCCCCAATTATTTTGACAACAAAAGTATGTGTTTGATTTTTCAAGATGGTACTTATTAAAAAACATCTTCAGGTCAATTCAAACTGACTTAAATTTTGAAGGGGATTTTACATTTTTCTCTCAGTCCTTCCCTGTGCAATAGTTTCAACCTTTACAAGATGGCTGCAACAGTTCTGGGACTCTGATCAAAACCTTGTCCAGAGAGAGAGAAACAGCATCTCTTCTGGTGGCTTTCTAGAGTGAAGAAATTTCTTTTGCAGAAACATCAGGAAGTATGTTTCAGGTCTCACTGGATCAAGATGTAGCCTTACAATTTCTGAGTCCATCAGGGGAATTACTTGAACCAATCACACCCACTCTGGGAACTGAGTAAGGTCAGCTATCTTAAAGCACAGAAGTGGATGGGGAATGGGTGGATATCAAAATAAAAGTCAGGAATGAAGGGAGAAGGAGATTCCAGATAGGCAAGCAAAAATATCCCCTGTATATTTGCAAAGCTGAAGGTTGACTTTATTCAGGGAGATTCCAGGTTTGTTTGTACCATGGAGGACCACCTGGGCCAGAAGTTACACATACATGGTATGTGATGGATTCCTAAAGCGTAGTTAGAGTAGCTGGGAATGGGAGCTAGGGGCCCGGGAAAGGAGGAGGCGGGTGCCGCAAGCGCAAGTCCCGACGAGCTGCCTCATAAAAGGATCAAAGCTTTGTGAGATCCCTCTGCCAAAGCTCTTGCAGCCTGTGACAGGAACCCAGTGAAAGATGGGTGGGAGTGGAAATTGAAAGAGACCCCTTCATAATTTCCTGAGGAAACTCACCTGTTTGGCAATGACTTTGCTCTGCAAGTTTTCCTTTTGCATCCACATGTCTTCATTAACTCTGAACTCACAGGAAAGTGTGATGGTTGTGAAATGGAAAAGCTACTCTTGGCAGACGCAGGTACCTCAAATTCAAAAGGAGAGGTTATGCAGTACTATCTGGCACCCACATGACCATTTTCCTCTCCTTTTCCTCCTGCTCTCAGGTGCATCTCTGGTCCTATCCATCTCATCTATACAGTACCTCACAACCAATCTTATCATTATTCCTGCTGTTGCCTTCACATCTCTCCACACTCCCACTGCAGCATCTGTCTTCAGCCTGTTTCCTCCAATCCCTTCTGCTTGTTATGACACAGACATAAACATCTTATCTTAAAACAAAGCTCACACCCCTCACTTCCTCAAACACTTTCCAGTGAGTATCCATTGACTACAGAATGAAATACTAATCCTAGCCCTTAATGTCTATAGTCCTGCCAAACCCAGTAGAGCTCTACATGCTGGTCAGCAGTTTGACAAACCTTTTGTATTGTGTTTCTGCTCTATACTGGGCATTGGGCAAGGTGTAAGAACTGCTAAACATGATTTTTCACACTCTTCTTTGTAAAAGTTATATTTCAAGTCAGGTCATTTCTAGCCATCAAAGCCTGTGGAGTATGGTCTCCCCTTAGAGTGCTTGGGTTGCATTTCTCTCATGACTCATGCATTGTGGTCCTTTTTAGTCTTGACTAATATCCCAACACCTTAGACTATGACTCAGTCATAGCTGAGTCCCCTCATCTCCCTCTCATGATCCTAGTATCTGGCTCAATTTGTGGTAAGAAGTGTGTATATGCACTGAGTATCTCCTGTAGTTCTGGAACTATGGTAAAATATCATACTCTGGGACTATCACCAAGTGTTCCACTCCTCTGGACTCTACCCTGTTGAAAGCAGAAGAAATTGATTGTCCTCATTGCATACACATTCTATTTTTAATCAGTTATTTTTCAATGTTGAAGAGTGTTGCTGATTTTTTTAATGTTGAACTTTTTTTCACAGAAAATTAAGCTCTTACACTCTTGTACTATTCTTTTGTTGTTCATTGTAGATTTGAAAACCATAATGCTACCAACCTCAGATATTTTGGCGTGTGTCCTTCAAGCTTTTGCTCCTAATAGTTCAGAACTGCATACAGAATAAACATTTGTAATCTTGCCTTATTTGGCGTTATGCCATAATTTTCCTGGCCACAATATTTTGTGGCCACAGTATTTTACTCCCTGTCCTTTTTGCTGCCATAAGCAACAGTGTGATGAACATCTTCACATACAAAAGCCTTTCTTACTTTTATGACTACTTCTCAACGATATAATTCCAGAATTGAAATTTGCTGGGGCAAAAGAGTATAAGAACATTAAGACTCTAAATTCAGAACTTGGCTTTTCTTTTCAATACATGTTTGAAGGAATGAGTAAAGGTGGCTGCTTAGCATAGATCTAAAAGAGAGCCTCCCAGTTTCACCATCCTAGCCTAATTTGTTTCATGACTATGTTAATGTTTGTCTTTACCTTCTTCTCAATTTCAGAAAAAGACACAAAACACTGAAACTGGATTCAGTGCCAGCCCCCACTCCTCTTTTACTTATAAAGTGTGCTTTCTTGATGTGAGAGGGTGAGAACTTTAAATCTCTCTTTGGAAAAACATGCAATGAAACTGGAGATGGTGGGACCCCACACCCAGGGCCATCTTTGAATGGATGTGTTTTTCCAGTGCTTTGGGGGCATTGAAAGCTTCAGCAAAATAAAATCAAGACCAACTTCACAGAGTTCATGTTCTTAGCCAAAAGAACCTCACTTTCTCTATTACTGGGGTAGATATATGCAGATGCAAAACACAGACAGCCTGTCCTTACTTTGAGTTTTGAAACAGTGATTTCTGTTGAAGGTCATTTGGCTTAGAGAGAAAAAAAGACTGATATTTGGCAGGGAGGAAGGTGAGGCTGGTGCATCACTGCCAAGGACCTTCCATATGGGTGGCCTGGGAGAGCTTCCACCTGGCCACAGAACAGGTCATGGCCCAGGTTAATGAGGAAGAAAGAATGAGGAGGAGAACAGTTTGATTAAAATGAAAAGAAGAAATGTATTCTCTCAATCCTCTGCATTTTAAAATTAGAGTCCTCCTAAACAAATTTTTAAAATGATTAAAAATCAACTGGATTTTTGAGGTAATGTATCCTATTCTGTTTACACAGTCCTCCTGAGAAGAGTGTCTTCATTCTAAAAGTGGGATGTTTGAGGGGGGAGTCATCAGCTACACCTCAGATTCGTGAAAGGATCTAGGGCCAATTGGTGACCTCTCCAGGTCTAAGTGTCTTCAGTTTACCTACTTCAGGAGGAGTTAGAGTAGGAAAGAGAATCCTCCTTCAGCCCACACACCACCAAGCAGAAGACTGTCTCGGAAGTGAAAGTGTGGAAGGTGGGATGATGCCTTTGTCTGATCTGAAGGCTCAAGGAAGTGCATGCGTCTGTCCCCTGGGTCTGACCTCGTCAGACTCTGATGTGTATTTATCCAACTACTTTCAACATCTCCAGAACCCATCTTTTCTCCTAGAATGGCTTTTCCTTTTGCCTTCTTCATATGAGTTGATCACTTTAAGAAGCACCTCTTGACGCAACCCAGAAACCTGGGTACTGCCAACCTCCTCCTCATGCACAGCTTGTCAGCTCTCTCTTCCTAACACCTTTGCCTCCTCTTCTTCTGGTCACCTAGCTCAGTCTGCTTCATTTCTTTACAAAAATCCCCTACTTGGTTTCTCTTCTCCAGTTTCTTCCCAGCTTCATTTCCCCATGCTCCATCCCGCCCTCATTCTCCCATCTATTGCCCCAACTAGGGCCAGAGTGATCTCCCTAAAATCTCATCAGATTACTGCTGTGCTTAAAATATTTCAGGAGCTTCTCAGCATTCTCAGGAAGGAGGTCAACGCTCATAGCACAGTAAGCAGAGTCCTTTGGTTTCTCAAGTTCTTTACATTCCACCTCAAATTCTATGCTCTGCACATAATGTATTCTCCAAATATATCAGGTGCTTTCAAACCTCTGTCTTTTGAAATAGGCACTGCTTCTGCCTGGAATGCCCTTCTTTCATGCTTTTTCACTTAACTAAGTCCACCGCCAGACTTACCCAACATGCCAGTTGTGTGCTGATCCCAAAACTCCCTGTACATATCCCTGTGATAGCATTTATCAACCTGTGTTGTCATGACTAGTCTCTAGGCCTAGCTTCCTCACTGTACTGTGTTCCTTGAGGCTATTAGTCATTTCCTTCACATCTGTATCTCCTAAGAACCTATGGTTATAGGCATGTAATACAAATGTAGTATATCAAATGAAGGAATTGACTGTTAAGATAAACAGTGGAGAAGAATTTTGTGCTCTCAGCTCTTTGGCTGAATGATATTACTTGGGCTGCAAGTTCTGTTTATAGGAATACACTTCCCTAAGTTTTGTAGGTATTTAAAAGCTGGGAATAGTGTGTGTGTGTGTGCACATGTGACTGTGTAATTGTGCATCTTAGGTTGTGTTGATTATGGACATTATCAGGGGAATTTTTTTTTTTTTTGGAGACAGAATCTCACTCTGTCACCTAAGCTGGAGTGCAGTGGCTCCATCTCAGCTCGCTGCAACCTCTGCCTTCTGGGTTCCAACGATTCTTGTGCCTCAAACTCTAGAGTAGCTGGGATTACACCACCACACCCAGCTAATTTTTGTATTTTTAGTAGAGACAAGGTTTTGCCATGTTGGCTAGGCTGGTCTTGAACTCCTGACCTCAAGTGATCCCCCTGCCTCGGCCTCCCAAAGTGCTGGGATTACAGGTGTGAGCCACCATGTGCGGTCCAGGATATTCTTATAATAGAGCGTTTAGGAAACAGAGACGAATGTTTCATGATGAACACGTTTTCTATGAAAGGATAGCTCTTCCTATGGAACATGCTCAATTCAAATACAGTAGCTTCAGAATGAAGAATTTTGAGTTGTAACCTGAGCCCATTGATGAATGTGATCTGATGCACACTAAGTAGTATCAATTTGCAGTTTCATTTGAATAGGTCCTACCTGTTACATGAATTAATATTTAGACTCCCAGGATGACTTCTCCAATATTAGATATTTAACAATTCAATTAATCACTCCCAAGTGAAGCATTCTAATTGATTGTTTTTCAGTCTCTGTTGGTGATAAAGATAATGGATGTTTTTGTGGAGTAAATTGGCGTCTTTGCTTAATATTTGTTTCTCGATGTCATTGCCCAGCAAATAAATGGTGAAGTGTAGTTCTATAAATAGCATGATGGTTGGCAGATGAAAAAAAAATAGCTGTGTTTCCTGACACTGCAAATTTCACACTGTTTTAATTACCACAAACGTTCACTCCTATCTCAGAGAGCTGAGCAGGAAACTAGGAAGAACCAAGCATCCGTAGATGCTGCTGCAATGGGAAGCCTGGGATGTAGAGACCTCAGTGTGGCCAGGGTCTCTATGACATCCTCTGTTGGAGGTAAATGTGGGCCCCTGGAGAATCAGCCAGGTGTAATGGAAATTCGTCCTGCTATGTGCTATTGCTGCTATGCAAAAAGGAGAGACACCTGACTCCCTAAAAGAAACTTGAAGACGCAGAAAAATAAAAGCACAGAGGGTTGGGATTTTGCTCTTCAGGCAAACACCTACACACTTTCACAGTTCACAATTTAGACAGTGTTAGAAAAATAACAAGGGTAAGGTAACCTTAAGATATTTTCTGAATGCTAGACTTTCTGTCTCCCTCCACAGAGTATTAAGTCCTTTTCTCTGAAGTGGTCAAAATCTCTTTCCGCTTCCTCGACAATCACCTGTTTTCCTTCCCACTTCTCCCACTCTGCCCCATTGCCTGGAGCCATCTCTCTCCTCTTTCCTGAACCCTGGAATCTTTCTGGCTCTCCTGAAATCCCACTTCCACATCAGAATGGTGTGAAAATGTATTTGCTCCAGCACTAAAGATCCTATTCTTGGGCCTCTGGCAGATTTTAAATTTGGGGCGAGAAATCTCTGGCTCAAGTCCAGAAATCTTTACAATACTTTGAAGTAATGGAAAAAGCATGCACGGGCACAGGCACAGATAATTTACTCCAACCTCCTATACACTTTTTCCCTTGTGAGGATAAATCTCATTGGATTTAGACCCAATCATACTGGAAATGACAGTAGCTTATGATTATTCAGAGAGGTTTCAAAGCTTAAGTAGGTGGTAGAGAAGGGAAAATCTTCACTTTCCATAATGATAAAGATGTAAGTTTTTACAAAGGGTAGAAGGTGGGCCTCCAAAGTTTGGAAAGGATGAGTTTTGCAAGGAGGGTTTGGCAAGGACCTAAGGACCCAGCCAGGGCATCAGCTCCACAGACAGAGAGGAAGAAGCCCTTTTCACCTAGCAAGAATAGGCATTCAATGAATATTCATTGATTAAACAAATGAATGCCCAGACTACACAAATGTCAGAAAAGGGTGCAGTGTGGATTTAAAACAACATTACTCAAAGTTTTAATTGAAAGTAAGCTTAATAAAAGTCACCAATCACCAATGTAATACAACAGTCAAGGCCCCTACCATGATAGCATGCTTCAGGACCAGAGAAATGCTGTCTATACTGAAGTTCTCTGGGTCCTACTCAGCTCTGTGCTCATCGATAAGTTTAAGTATCACGATTAACATGGTGTAGAAGACATGTTCTCAGAGGTCCAGGAGGTCAACTCTAAGACTGCATCAGTGGAAGTTACAGCTGCACAGACATCAGCTTGATATCAAGAATTGCATACGGAAGCTGAACAGTCACAGCGTGGACTGTTCTGGTTATCAATTTATTGTCTCTTAGTTCGAAATACCCACTTTTTGCCTGCCCTGTGAAAATGGAGCTGAACCCTTTAAATATTTATCTTTTGTTAAAGGAAATGGAGGCTAAGTTTTACCATTAAAGATCTGTGGAGAGAGGCTGTAGGAGAAAAGTCTTTTGTTTCCTGGTCCCTGTCTGCTTGCTCAGTAGGTCCGTGCCATGCACACAGCTTCCCCAGGACCATCTCCTGCCTTCAGGGTGGCTTTCACAGCAGCAGTCTCCTATGGCATGCAAAGCTTTTGCAGTGCATGGAGGCCAGCAGCACCCAGGGCTAGCACCCCATGGTACTCCCAGCCTCAGATGTGTTTATAGCAAATTGTCTCTCATGAAACACTTTTCCTTGAGCAGCTTCCCCTTGCACCCAAGAGGGCAGGCTTCCAGCAAGTTTTGCTGGTGTGGCAACACAATGGCTTCTCTTCCGTCTTGTGAGCACTGGCCTCTCCAATAAGGTCTGGACCTCAGTCCTGAGGAACCTCTTGCTTGGGTGCTCTACCTTAGTCTCAGGTGTAGTGACTCCTCTTTGTGTTTGCTCTTCCTATATTCTCTGATGCTCCCTTTACTTCTAACTAGACAGTCCCTCACTGTAGTTGATAAGTTCTTATTTTAGATATTCCCTGTTTAAATTGCTGTGTGATTTTCCTCTACTGATTGGACCCTGACTGATACACCCAGCTACTGCACTGGGTACTGAGGAATGACTAGAATTTGGATAAGCAAAGAGGAAGGAGAATGGGAGATTTCAGCTAGAACAAGAGCATTGAGATTCATGTTTTTCATATTTATATTACTTTCTTAAGGATGAAAGATGATCGTTAAATATTCTGAATCTGATTATAAATTCCTTGAGGCAAAAACTATGTCTGATTCTTCCACAAGGTGTATAATATTGGAATGCTTGATGAAAGATCAAAATCTTGTGGTCACTGGCTGGTCAATCAATTTAACCATAACTGAGACTGGAGGAGAAAAACGTCATTGCAGCACTTCGGAGAGAATAATAAATTAATAATAAAATAATGATAATAATGTTAGAAAAAATATTGAGTGAATATTATGTGCCAGGCTTTATATTACTGAGCGCATATGTAAGGACTTGCAAAACATCTATAAGGTAAATATAATTATTATACCTGAAGCACTGAAAGGTTGGGCAGCTTGACTATGTTCAGAAAACTAATAAATGGCCAAGGCAGGTTTTAAACCAAAGCCGCCTGGTTCCAGAGCCACTAGGCTCACTACACAATATGATTTCCCAACAATGACCCACTCCTAGGTCACACTACACAATACTATTTCCCAACTATGCTTAGTGTTGTGGTTATAACCCCACAGCAATAAAGATCTCTTCTTTCAAATTCTAGGAAAGCAGAAGATGGTGATCTTTGTACATTAATGCAGAGCCCTTTTTCTTGATGTTTTCCATTGAGATTTTTAAAAAGGAAGAATTTCAAAATGCTCCTTTCAAATATTGGGTGCGGGTACTGACATGCTCTGTATATTAACGGATGTACCTTCTTATAAAAAGTTATATGTCCCTGGGCTCCTACCCTCCAGGGTATTTACTCTTTAGTCCCATTTTTAAGGGATTGCAGCTGTGAATGTTTGGGGTCCATTGAAGAGATTCAGAGAGCAACAGACAGAGCTCATATCTGGAGAAAAATTTCCTACAAATGTTAGATCTCCTGAAATGGCCTCTTCTCGTTACCTTCAAGATCTGCTCTGATTTCCTTGTCATGTGCTGAAGTCACTGTAAATATGCACTGGCTCACACCCAAGTTTTTCATCTCCACATTTCCTTTCTTTTCTTTTTTCTTTTTTTTGAGACACGATGTGCTTTTAATCTAGAAGTTTTCGAATCTAGGCCCCTTCTCCTACCTGGATAGGAATGCTACCCAGGATCCCACCTGGGTGACTGACACTTTATGATTGCTTTGAACTATAAAAATACCGATGATATTGTTTCTTCCACCTGAAATGTTTCTTTTCTCCCCTCCATCTTATCTGGCATGATCACACTCAAATAGGATGTTCTTTATGAGGACTTTCCCAGCCCCTCAGAAGAATTAGAGTTCTCTGCTGTGCTCTAGAACACTTGGCTGTCGTCTCTCTATTAGACGTCATTAGGTTGTGCTGGAAATGAAACAGGCCTGCCTCCCCTTCAGACCAGAAGCTCTTGGAAGGTGGAAGACTATCTCATATCCCTATCTGCTTTGCAATGGCCTGACATTATGACTAGGACTAAGTAGGTGCTCAATAAATATCTCTTACTTTAATAAATAGATGAATAAGTGAATTAATTGGGCCCTTTTACAACACAAACAAAATTTGTGGACCTGGGAAAACTATGTCACTTACTTTAACCTTAGTTTAACCATCTTTAAAATGAGCCAATGTGATCAGATGATCTCAAAGTCCCTTCAAATTCTGTCATCTTGTAGGCATGTAATTCAGTAAGTATTTCTATATATTGCCTCTGAGTTTGACTAAGAAACTTCCATATACATCCAAAGCTTGTTCATTATTCCAAATGTTATGTACAACATCAACTCCAAATATCTCAGGTAGAGGACTTATGTTAGTGTAAGAGAAAAGTCACATTAATCATTTAAGCATCCTTTTGATCATTCGGCTTCATTAGCCACAGCTTTGGAAGTCTGGACAGCAATCTATAAATTTGAGACCGGGTGAAATTAGCTTATTTGATGCTGTTATAAAACACCTCCAACATGTCTTCTTCTACACTTTCATTGAGAAATGCAGTGAGGGACCAATTGTTCTTTTGCTATTCTTATCTAAGTTTTTGGTGTAGAGAGCTTTAACCTACAAAATCTAATTAAATCCCCCTCTTTTTTTGGGTCAGATCTGAGCCTAAGAGAAGAGAGAAAAGAAGAAGGCCTTGAGACATTTGTACACAAATCCAAATGACAATTTTAGGAGGAAATACAATTGTCAGGGAGGCTGCATTCTCAGGGACTTCTGTATGTTGCCATACCTAGAGCAGGCAGCCCAGACCTCCTTAAGTCCTGGGACCTTTAGCACAATTGAAATTACATCTCTGAAGATTCTTTTTCTTTTCTTTTTTTCTTTTCTTTTCTTTTCTTTTTTCTTTTCTCTTCTCTTCTTTTCCTTTCCTTTCCTTTTCTTTCTTTCTTCTTTTTTTTGAGACAGAGTCTCACTCTGTCACCCAGGCTGGAGTGCAGTAGTGCAATCTCAGTTCACTGCAAACTTTGCCTCTTGGGTTCAAGCAATTCTTGTGCCTTAGCTTCTTGAGTAGCAGGAATTATAGATGCACGCCACCACGCCCAGCTAATTTTTGTATTTTTAGTATGGAGTTTTGCATGTTGGCCAGGCTGGTTTCGAACTCCTGACCTCAAGTGATCCACCCACCTCGGCCTCCCAAAGTGCTGGGATTACAGGTGTGAGCCACCATGCCCAGTCTATGATTTTCTATCTATGAGAGAAGATCACCAATTTGGTTCCTTTGTCAATTTGAGACCAGTTATTGCATTATTTTTATTTTGACCTCATGCAACTATGAAATCATTATTTTCTCGGAAGGACAGTCTTTCTTTCTGTTTGACTAAGAAGTTAAATGAACAGTTTGTATTACAATCCTTTCACCTAGGAGGGGATGCTCTGCTCTTGAATTAGAAGCTTGGTAACAAACAGCCTCTTACGTCCTCCTTCCAGATGCCAGGCATTGCACAACTACAAATTATTGGCTGACCGATGCCAAGGGAGACAATGCCCCCAACTGGCCACACAAAAAAAGCAAAATGAAAATAATAATGAAGAAATTAGAGTGAAATTACTGACTTTCCTTTGTAGATGAAGAAACAGGCTCAGAGAAGTGAAGTGGCCCGCCCAAAGTTCCAAAACTAGTAAGTCTAATTCTAAAGCATGTAATTTTCCATGTGTGTGTATATATAACAGATTACATTTAAGAAATACAAAGTCCTAGACATTTGTCTGTTCACATTCATTCATTTCACACACAAAAAAGAAAAGAAAATTGAGGTGACGCACAAAGTGCTCAAAGGCATATATCATATAGAAAGGTTTAGAACTTGAGTCTCTTTAGCTTCAGCACATTGGTTGGTGTGGAGGTCCGCACTGAGGAAGGCTTGCACAGCTGTGGAAAGGGCACATGGCGAGGCTGCCATCAAACCCTGGCTTTAGCACTATCAATTATTGAACAGTGTATCATCTAAATTGTATCAACGAGAAAAAGCAGGCTAAGATAATAATCACGTTGTATGCATTTCATGATGAGTAAGCCAAGATGATGTGTGTATTTCCAGCATATCAGAGGCTCAATAAATGTCATGTCCCTCCTTCCTTGAGCGGGGCCATTTCATATTTTAATATTATTATTATCATTTCAAAACTAACTCATGCACATGATAAAAATTTCAAAAAGATGCAAAGAGTTAACAAAAAAAAAGGTCATTCACTTCCTAATGCCCTTCCCCAGTGGTAATCATTTTTAACCTTTTCTGATTTCTGTTATTCTCATCGTTAGCTCCATAATTCTAAATATTATTATTGTGGTTTTATTCATTTATTTATTCACTTAGTTACTTTAAATAATATACTTCAACTTTTATTTTTTATTCTATCAAATTGTGGTAATTTCTTCTCTCATGTGATAGAATGAGAAAATTATCACCCACCGTCTTTTGTTCATGTAACACTTTCCACAGTCAAATATGGCAGCTCTACAATTACTTTTACCTTGTCCAGGTTCACAATGTAATTACATTTTATCACCTACTATAATGATTTTTTTTTTGTCTATAGGTTGATCTGTACATGGAAACTAATAAACAATTTTTAAAATATTTGAACATATCAATATTAGTAAGTGCTAGACCAAGTATGCTATCTGGACCAAGATGGAAAGAAAATAGAATTATTTGTCACTAATACTTTAATGTTAAAAGAGAATGATCCAAGCAATATATTCAGAGTGATTTTTTTCTTTGCTTTAATACTTTGAAGCATCACACATTTTAGTTTGCTTTATGTTTGACTCTTAAATTTACAATATAGTTTTATATTGATCTTAGTGTTTCTAGTTGCCTTTTTCCTGATTATCAAAGAAACATATCCCTTATTTACAATATCTATAATAATATCTATATTTTAAATTAATCATATTAATTATCTAGTGGTCCTATTTGGACTGATTGCTTTCCCAACTACTACATTGTTGTCTGATTGAGATTAAATAAAAATTAATCCTGGACTTCTTTCTTGAATCTCATGTCTTTCTTTTCAGTGTGTATGTGTTTATGATCTTGCTGCAATACCCTCAAGTATTTTATCACCAGAAAGAGTGGATAAAAAGTAACTTTCTGAGTTCTTATGTAAATGAAAATGTCTTTATTCCACAATGTTTTAGGATTTCTCTCGTTTCTCATGTTGTTGATGAGAAGTCGGTTGTGAAACTGATCACTTTTTGGCTTAATTTTTTCTTTTTGTTTAATTCTCTCTCTCTCTCTCTCTTTCTCAGCATCTAAGCTCGTCCTTTTTGTTCTTAACATGCTGAACTTTCACTAGGATGTGTACATGAGAATGTGGATCATGTTCCATTCATTCTGCTTGAGCTTCAGTGGTCCTTGCAACCTAAAGATAGCTAGTCTTAGGACAGGCGCAGTGTCTCATGCCTGTAATCCCGGCACTTTGGGAGGCCGAGGCGGAAGGTTCGCGAGGTCAGGAGATTGAGACCATCCTGGCGAACATGGTGAAACCCCGTCTCTACTAAAAATACAAAAAAAAAAAAATAGCCGGGCGTGGTGGCGGGCGCCTGTAGTCCCAACTACTCGGGAGGCTGAGGCAGGAGAATGGCGTGAACCCAGAAGGCGGAGCTTGCAGTGAGGGGAGATCACGCCACTGCACTCCAGCCTGGGCGACAGAAATTGCTGGTCTTTGACGCCGAAAATATTTGTTCTATTATTTATTTGATAAATTTCTCTTTTTTATTTTCTGTTCTTCTTTTCTGAAACATCTATTAGCCGTATTGTGGATACCCTGAATTGGTCTTATCTTTTAATTTTTCTCTTTCATTTACCTATTTTTGATGCTTGTTCTACTTTTTGTGAGAAATTCCTGATTTTTATCTTTCATATTTTTTATATTTTTTGGCCAATCATGATTTTAAAATAAATTTCAAATACATTTTTTCTTATTCTCCAAGTGTTCTTTTTTAGTGATTCTCATTTTGGCAAAAATTTTAATGTTATTTAAAATTTATCTAACAATAATTATACTTTTACATTCTCGTTTGCTCTCTGAATTAACTTTATTTCCTCTTCAAGAGATGAGTAATTTTCATTTCTTATCTTGCTTACCACCACCGTCCAGGTGTGGAGCAAATCTTAGGTGCCCATTCATATTTATGAATGAAGAATTCCTTGATTAATACAGATGGCTGCCATGGGTTTCCTTCAATGTTCTGCAGGTTTGTTTGCCCAGCAAGCCTTTCTCCTGAAGGGGGCAACTGATTGTGAACTATGTGTGAGTGTATGTGTGTGCATGTTGACTGGCAAGTATCAGATTGAACTTCGGGAGAAGACTGCCCTGCCTGCACCTTTCCACCTCCCACCAGCCTGTCAAATAAGAGTTTTACTCTGAGGACATCTCTAACACTTGGCCCTCAAGGCTACTCACGGCACCTGTTCCATTTCTATAGCATGTGGTAGGGAGTGCTCTCTGCCCAGAGGCAAGTCACACAGGTTTCTCTGTATAGGTTGAGTAGTTCAGATGGTCCACAAAGAGCCTTTTGATTAAATAATGTAGATAAGACTCCTTCATTCTTGGCTTTTCTTACCCACCAACTTCAAATTTTGAACCTGTTTAGGGATCTGTTAATTAAAGCAGCCCCTGCCTCCCACACATCCTTCTCCTCTCTGTTTTTGTTATCTACTTTCTTCAATATGGATTAGCCACTTACTTGAATTAATCTGTTTTTCAACTTTCAAAAGTTAGTTAAATTTCCCAGTATTTTGGTGTGCCTACTTTGTTTTTTGACATTATTATTTTATGCCCTGGTGTTTATTTTTCTGTATTCCAACAGAGATTGGGAAGAAATTGAAGGTCAATATGCATGTTCAGGTATCCATTATGAACCAGAAACACCCAATCATTTTTTTAAATATTGTAAACTTTTGAAGAGATTATATAAAATCTTTGATATTTTTTCATAGTTCTCTGTCTTAGTCTGCTTAGGCTGCCATAGCAAAATACTACAGGCTGGGTGCCTTAAACAACATAAATTTATTTCTCAAAGTGTGGAGGAAAGTCCAAGGTGCCGGGCAATTTGGTTCCTGGTGAAGACCTCTTCCTTTCCTGGCTTACAGAGGGCTGCCTTCTCAATGTGTACTCACATGAGAGGGGTGGGGGAGAAGCAGAGAGGGAGAGAGAAAGAGGAAGAGAAAGATACCTTCCTGTAACTCCAGAGCCCCGTCCTCAGGACCTAGTTAACCTTAATTACCTCCTAAAGACCCTATCTCCAGACATAGTGACTTTGGGGCCTAGGCTTTTAACATAAGAATTTTGAGGGGACATAATTCAGTCCATAGCAGCCTCTAATCATTTTATTATGAGGAAGGAACATTTTAAAATACAGGTTATAAAAACTATGAAAATCCTGGAAAACAACTTCCTGTTGACAATATCATCCTGGACATAGGAATGGGCAAAGATTTCATGACAAAGACACCAAAAGCAATCACAACAAAGGCAAAAATTGGCAGTGGGGTCTAATTAAACTTAACAGCTTCTGCACAATGAAAGAAACCATTAACAGAGCAAATAGACAACCTACAGAATGGGAGAAAATATTTGCAAACTATGCACCTGACAAAGGTCTAATATCCAGCATCCATAACAAACTTAAACAAATTTACAAGAGAAAAACAACCCCATCAGAGTGGGCAAAGGACATGAACAGACACTTCTCAAAAGAAGACATACATGTGGCCAACAAGCATATGATAAAAACCTCGATATCACTGATCATTAGAGAAATGCAAATCAAAACCACAGTGAGATACCATCTCACACCAGTCAGAATGACTATTTTTAAAAAATCAAAAAATAACAGATTCTGGTGAGGTTGCAGAGTAAAGGGAACACTTACACACTGTTGGTGGGAGTGTAAATTAGTTTAACCATGTAGAAAGCAGTATGGCAGTTCCTCAAAGATTAGAAATATGATTCAACCCTGCAATCCCATTACTGGGTATATACCCAGAGAAATATAAATTATTCTATCATAAAGACACATGGGCATGAGTGTTCATTGCAGCACCATTCACAGTAACAAAGACATGGAGTCAACCCAAATGCCCATCAATGACAGATTGAATAAAGAAAATGTGGTACATGTACACCATGGAATACTATGCAGGCATAAAAAACAAGTTCATGTCTTTTGTGGGAACATGCATGGAGCTGGGGGCCATTATCCTTAGGAAACTAATACAGGGACAGAAAACCAAATACCACATGTTCTCACCCATAAGTGGGAGCTAAATGATAAGAACTTATGAACACACAGAAGGAAACAACAGACACTGGGGTATATTTGAAGGAGGAGGGTGGGAGGAGGGAGAGGAGCAGAAGAGATAACTATTGGGTACTGGGCTTAGTACCTGGGTGATGAAATAATCTGTACAACAAATCCCTGTGGCACGTGTTTACATATGTAACAAACCTTCACATATGCCCCCAAACCTAAAATAAAAACTAAAAAAATACAGCTTATAGTATTTAATCCCAAAGAAATACAACACTTGGATAAGACCTAAACTGTAGTACCGAAATCATTTCTGAGTCCAAACTACTGAGATCAATTTCAACCTTGGATTTTTAAAAATAAAAAATTAAGACCTACAAGACAAAGAGTCCAGCATAGGTAAGTACAGATGGAAGTCAGTCACACACACGTACACACACATGCACACAGGAATTCACTAGTGTGTGCACACACTCACTCTCCTCTCTTCTGATAGATAACATGATCCTCTAAATCATTGCATGCAACTTCAAACCCATTTCTGGGGCTGCACATATTTTCAGTGAGACCTTTCTGGGCCTTATTGTCAAAGGCACATGGCAATTAAAATGGCATTGACAATCTTCTGATCTGTCCTTGCAAAATAGAAAATACAGATTAAGGGAAGATTATGCTAAGGGGGAGAAGATATTAGAGTGGGAAGGGCTGTTTGAAGACAGTTTGTTCAGCATGGTTAAAAGGCCTTTAAGCCTAACCCTGAAATAGCTTTGTGTCCTTCCTAGTCATGCACTCTAGCTGTGTCCTGTACAACATATAGCACAAGTCAAAACCACTGTCATAGGGAAGGGGAATTTGATTTTTTCATGTTTAAAAGGACAGGTAAGAAAGATATTTTTTTCATGTCAGACAGTTGTCACTTCCCTATCTAAAAATGCTTGCATTTCTCAAGCAGGTCTTTTACAAGATACAAGCTTGTTAAATGAAAGCTTTAAAAATAATTCCATTACCCACCTTACAAAGACAGAGTGACAGCTGATCATTAGAAAAAGAAAGTCTTCATGGATGATGCACAAGTTGCAAAAGATGTGGTTTCACCCATTATAAAAAGGGACGAACAGTGACATCCCACCAGGGGAAGTGCCTCCAGAATTTTAATAACTTCTGTTGATAGATGACATTCACTGCAAACGCACACCAAACTGTTAAAGAAAGTCTATGGTCGAAAGAGTTTAAGTGTCTTAAACTGTCACCTCTCTGGCTGCCTGTAAAGAGACTGCTGGAAGGTTCAGAACTGTGGACAGCCCATGCTGTCATTCCTGTTGCAAATGCACACCAAAGGCTGTGTGTCCATCTGAGTGTCCCCTGTCTATCCTAGGGGCATGTCAAAAATGCAGAAGCAAGGTCCCCAGATCATATAGGGCTGGGAGGTGCTTAGAGTCATCACCTCCAGTTCCTTTATCATATAGACAGGAAATTAGATGTCCAGTCAGTCATACAGGAAGTCAGTGACAGAGAAAATACTATAATCTGAGGCTTTGGTTTCCTGGTCCAGAGATGCTTTTCTCTATCCTTGACTCTCTTGTTACAACTTACGGTTCTTCATGACCTGGCCCCCACCTCCGTCTGACCCTCTCCTGGCATTCTCTCCTTGATCATTCTATCCCAGCTACATGGGCATCCTTGCTATTCTTGAGACACACCAAGCAAACTCCCACCTCAAGGCCTTTGCACTTCCCACCTGGCTGCCAGGCACACTCTTCCCTCAAGACCACAAGGACCAATTCTTCACCACATCCAAGTCTCTGTTTAGATGTCATCTCCTCAGGGAGGACTTCCCTGATCGTTTTATCTAAAATAGAACTTCCTATCATTTTCTGTCTTGTTTCCCTTACTCATTTGTCTTCTCAGCATTTACCAATGTGCGGACAATGTAGTGGAAATCAAAATATTTATGTATGTTATGTATGTATGCAAGTACCTCTGTTTCCAAGAAACGTCAGTTCCATGACGACAGGAGCCTTGTGAGTTCATCCACTATTCTATCCCCAGCATCTAATGGGTTCCAATAAATATTTCTAAAGCCATAATTAAACAACACCTTTGAAAGTGTTCACTGCTCTTTATAAGTTTAGATGGCAAAATGTACCACTCCACACCCAGGAGCTCAGAACCTCATCCCACTAAAGACAATATGGCTTCCTTGTCTTTCATTTCCTTTTCCAATACTCAGTTGAACTCAGATATACACTGAGCCTCTACTATCCTGCATTAGTAACTGTTCCAGACTCTGCCTGGCTTACAGATGGCTGCTGTCTCACTGTGTCCTCAAACGAGGGAGAGTGAGGTGGGGAAAGGGGAAGTTAGAATTTAAAGAGACCCATTCTTTGTCTTTTAGCTTAAAGTTCTTATATAAGAAAAGATAACCACAAGTCATTGTGTACGTTCAGAGGTGGAACACGAAAAGTGTATTATGGGATGCAAAAACACTGAGGGGAGAAGCCATGGTCTGGAAACTGACCCCTAGTGAATGAGAAAGGAGAGTCAGCCTAGAGAGATCATCCTAGGAGGGGGATAATGGCATTTGACAATGCCAGAAGCATCTGGAGAAACCAGGCTCAGAGGCGGAAGCAACTCAAAGATGACAGGGAAGGGTGACTGAATCATCAATGCAGACAGTTACCAGTGCCTAGAACACCAGGGGATGCCTTGCTGCTATAGGAGCTGTGGCCAAGCACGTTTCCTTCACACTGTATTGTCAGCAACTTGCAGATAAGGACCTCATCCTTCCATATCCAGCCCACCAGTGTTTGTTAAACTAAGTGATGAATACATTCAATCAAGTTTGTTAAATTGAGTAGTGAATATAGCCACTGATTTAAAAGGCATGTTTTCATAGGGGAATAAGCACAGAGGATTCAGCATCAGGAGATCTAGAATGCTGGTGCCTGGGCTTTGCCACCAGCTGTGTTAGTTCAGGCAAGGCCCATGCTTGATCTGCATCTTCAATTAACCACCAACTCATCAATAAAAAGGACAAAAGAAATCAGTTATAAAAGACCTTCCAACTCTGACATCCTAGAATCCCATAAAATATTATCTAGGCTTTTTTTTTTTGGCACTGGCTAATGTTAATTATTTTAGAAATACCATTGTATTTGCAGGTCTTAAGAAAATTACTCTTTACCACAGTGATGGCCAAGGTCCTTCCAAATAGCTAACATGCAAAAGCACAGTTAGAGGCCATTAATCCACAGGTCCGTTTCCCAGAAACCTGACTCATTCAGGACCTTTTGATCCTGAGCTCATCAAAAGAGTCCCCTGAGTGCCCACATTAGCTGTTGAAAGTTCTAGCATTAATGGCTATGTGCACTGTTGCTCGTGCCCTTTTGCAAAGCCTTATGAAATCTAGATTCTTGTTCTCCAACAATTACTCAAGAATGCTGTTTCTTCCGCTGGAAATTTTATTCCTGTTTGTTCTTCCAGGTGAACTCCTGCATATTCTCAGAGTTTATCTCAAATTTCCTTGCTCCCTGAGCTGCAACTACATCTTCCTACTGCCTACAGTTTGTGGCTCTGTCTTCTAGGTTGTACCTTCCATATGGCCTTTGCCATTCTGTATTGTGGCTATGCCTGTTGAGAGTTTAAGCTTGTTGATGCCTGTGTCATGCTTTATTTATACTATTCCCTGGCATCAAATTGGTGTGCAGGGAGTGTTTTCTGGAGACTTCTAGTGATTTGGTTTCCTGGACCTTAGTAAAAGAAACACAGTAATTAGGAAAAGAATGGTTGAAGAAGACATTCAGGAGAGACAGTTATGTGAGTCCTAAGAAAATCACAGTTGGCATTGCAAGATACCGAGGGAGGAGACAAAGGACCTAAAACCAGATACAGATCTGCATTACTGCTCAGGATGCTAATGGGTGTTTAGAATGACATCTCTGAGTGGTTTTGAAATTACGTAGTTATGTATGGCAGATGGGAATTCAGAATTTCTGGAAATGTCAAATACATTTCAGAAAGATGTCTATTAAAAAGAGCTTACTATACTTGTTTGGTGTTTGACAAGCTCAACTTCAGTTATCTGGAAAAGCCCAAGGTGCCAGATGAATGAGACATTACCTCAAATTATAAACTGACAAGATTTGATTAAATGCTATCATACGCCCAGCATTGTGCAACATGTACTGTGACAAATGAAAGGCTGGACTTTCAAGGAAGTGAAGAGGCAAAGCTGGCACAGCAAAAATGGTCAGAGTACAAGTTAGCACCCAATGGACTGGCACAGATCAGTGAGTGACTGTCCATTAGCAGAGGGAGGAGAGATCAAGCTAGGCTAAAAGAGACAGGGGAGGGAGGCTTTCTACAAGAGGTGGTACTTGGGTGAACTCTTGCAGACTGGGAAGATCGAGATTAGTAAAGGTAAGGGAAGAGAAGATTCTCCACCTGCTGGGGGCCACTCAAGCAAAAGCTTTGAGGTGAGACTGGCAAGAGTAAGTGAGATCAGCAGTTCAGCAGAGTAGCAAGTAGGATAACATATTGCATAATATGTTGGATTTGGGGACTATTGACAGTTAGGCAGAAGTACTTGGATCTAGATGTGGAAGTCAAGAGAGAGAAACAAATGAGCTGACAGGTAAGTAGGGCAATTATCTAGTCTAGTTTCCACTAGATGATCAAGTCACAAGTAGCCTGGTTGCATGGAATCCATCAACATCTCTTTGTCCCATCAACCAACCACAACCTGAGACTCAGGCAGCAGTGTGTACAGACTGCATTGCACAGATTAACAGGCTCTGGTCTTCCTCGGTAGGATCTTGCTTTGAATATTTCATCTCAGAAAGGTTCAACTAATTTATTTCACAGACTGAGAAACTATGTGTTAGAGAAGCAAAGTGATATAGCACTAGTGATGGAGCTGAGATAGAACCCAGATCTCAATACCCTGACTCCAAGTCCAGGATTATCATTATCTTGTACATGCCCTTTCTCCTCTGTATTTGCACATAATCTGTTCCATTAAATATTTTATTTATAGCTTGCTTTATACCAGCAGGCTTTAAAGGCAATAATCACATAAGTACAAGAAGAGTAAAGAGTTTCAGGAAGGAAAGATGGAGCATCCAAGGACCATCAAGATTGGAAAGTTGATACTATCTGTAGGCCTGAAAGCCTAAGAAGAGGAGTGGTTACCCCTGCAATCTGAGCACTGTGGTGATAGGAGAGGGCCCAGGCCAAGAGTAGAGGAACTCAGGCATTGTTAAACCTGCAGCCCAGAGGTGGTGGGGGTGGGGGTGGTGGGCGTGAAGCTGCTCATTAATATCCTGACAAACCCAACTGGAACCTGATGGCAAGGGGGTCAAATAGTGGAGTCCATCCAGATCACTACCCAGGGCACAGAGCAGGGACGAGAAGGGTAAAGAGCTGATCTGGAGGAGCAAATGGAGGTGATTCTTGGAAAGGTTCTGTGATGCTCTTGTCCACCACCTCGCCACCCTCACTCCTTGTTCCTGAGACCATCACAGTCTTTTCCTTACCTTTGTCTTCTGCCACTGCATAAGGGTAGACACAGGAGATGAAAGGCGGCCTTCAGAAAACTCATGAAGACTTGCTGACAAAGGGGAAAACCAGTGGGATACAAATTCAGAATGCATTAATTTCTTCTAGGTCCAAGGACACAGAAGCGGAGAAAGAATATACTAGACTTTCTTTTATTTAAGCTTTTACTTTAAGTTCAGGGATATATGTGCAGGTTTGTTATATAGGTAAATTTGTGTCATGGAGGTTTGTTGTACAGATTATTTCATTACCCAGGTATTAAGCCTAGTACCCATTAGTCATTTTCCCTGATCTCTCCCTCCTCCCACCGTCCACCCTCCAATAGGCCCCATTGTGTGTTGTTCCCTTCTATGTGTCCATGCGTTCTCATCATTTTTAACTGTCACTTATAAGCAAGAATAGGTGGTATTTGGTTTTCTGTTCTTGCATTAGTTTTCTAAGGATAATGGCCTCCAGTTCTGTCTATGTCCCTGCAAAGGACATGATCTTGTTCTTTTTCATGCATGCATAGTATTCCATGGTATATATTACCACATTTTCTTTATCCAGTTTGTTATTGATGAGCATTTAGGTTGATTCCATGTCTTAGCTATTGTGGTAGTGCTACAATGAACATATGTGTGCATGTGTCTTTATAATAGAATGATTTATATTCCTTTGGGTATATACCCAATCATGAGGTTGCTGGGTCAAATGATATTTCTGTCTTTAGGTCTTTGAGGAATCACCACATTGTCTTCCACAATGGTTGAACTAATTTACACTCCCAACAACAGTGTATAAGCATTCTTTTTTTCTCCACAACCTCGCCAGCATCAAGAATACACTAGACTTTCTGGATTAGGCCATGATGTGTTAAAATGCCAGAAAAGGCGTGAATAAGGAAGCTATCTTCCTAGGTGAATAAACAAATAAATAATGCAAAAACAGTGACTCATGAGGACCCAATCCCCCTAAGCAGAACTCCAGGGGCCACTGCACTGGGACAGAAGGTTGATGTCCTCTCATGTCTTCCCCACCTTCACAGTCCTCAGGACACCAAACTTCCCACTGCCTGTATTTCCAAAGTTGACCATGCCCACATTCAGCCCATACTCCGTGGATCAGTGTTTCCCTCCCCACTGGGTTGAAGGATCCTGGAGGAGTCCAGGATCTGCTCAGAAGACTAGGAGCTAAGTGAATGCTGATTAAATGACTCCCTTGACTGATGATGTAATCTAGTTTGTAAAATTTCTGGTAGCTGCCTTCAATAACATTGCAAAACAGAAATGGGTCATTAAATGAGAGTTTTCCCATCACTTCACCTAGTTTGAATACAACACAAATTCCTTGAGCTCACAGTTTTTTACTCCTTTCTAAAAACCTCCTGGTGGCCCAGAAACCTCCCTCTGACCTGCAGAGTGCAAGGTGGGGTTCTCCTCTCATACATTCTAGAAAGCCTCTCATTGGGTCTTTGGGAGACAGTCACTCAAGTGACCTGAGTTTGAAGCTGGCAAAAGCATCCCACAAACAGCATGTACCCATGTTTTTTTATACCAAAGACCATGGTCTGTTGATTGTTGTAGAGCCTTGAGTTCAAGTGTTGACCTCTTCTTTATGGCTAAGTCCTGTCTACCCACTGCTTCTCAGTAACAGTGTTAGTGACAGTCCCTCCTGCTTGTGTCAGCCGGCCCTAGGGAACTGGGTCTTTCATGCCCACACTGAGCCCTGTGCTTGGAGTACAACAGGGAGATGAGAAGCCCTTATTGAAGCAAACTAAAGGCCAAACAGTGGCACCATTGTCCATGCAAAGTGCTATACACCTGTCAGCATTTTCCATAGAAAACACACTCTCAGTGAATATATCTTCAATTATCAGCTTTCACACAAGTTGTGTCTCCAAATGCTGTGTTCTTTTAAGGCAATAATTTTGAGCTCTCTAATTTCAACCTTGGAATTCTACTTTTTTTCTTCTTCCTTTCTCTCCTACTATATTGGCAAATCTTGTCACTTGTATTTTTGAATCATGTATCCAAACCAATCATTCCTTACACCATCCTCCCCCACCATCCTGTACCCAACTCCATTTCTCACCTGAGATTTTACAACAGTCCCCAAATTGCTCACTTTGCTTTCACCCCTGTCCTGGCTCCATGTGGAGTCAGGTGGTCCTTTTGGAATCCCAGGCACACCCTGTTTCTCCTCCTTCTACTGGTTTCCCATCTAACTCAGAGCAAAATGTGTCCCTGTCAAGACCTACAGGATTCACTATGATCTGGCTTTGGTCTCCTTCCATTCTCCTCCCTGCTTAGACTCCAGGGCCTTTGTCCTTGCTTCTTCTTCACCTGGAATTCTTTTCTCCAAAATACCTACATAATTTGTTTCTGTTTTTCATTCTAATTGTGCTAAAATGTCACCTCATCAGACAGGGTTCCTCTAAGCATCCCATGCAAAATAAAACCTCCACAGAACTCTGAATGCCTCTCTTACTCATTCATTTTTTCTTCCTGACACTTATTACCAGCTAATACTTGATATATTTATTTACTTGTATGTCTGTTTGCTGTCCTTCCTTTATCCACCCTCACCAGCCTCTAAAATATTGGCTTTTAAGTGCTGAGTTTCTCATTTTATTGCCATATCCCCAGTGCTGAAAACAGTGACTGGCACATGAAGTAACTCAACAAATATTTTTCAAATGAATGAATGAATTGTGAAGCTATAGGAAGTTTCAGGAGGCCTATGAAATTATATCCTAAGTTGTGCCACATTTTTCCAAATGATTTCTAAAATGATCAGTAGTTTTTTCAAAGGGCCTTTGACTGAGAATTTTAACGAACTGAAGAGGGCCTGAGTAAACATCACGAGTTCTGTGATCACATCCTGGCTACGGAGCATCACCTACCTGAGGTTCAGTTTCTCTCATCCATAAAGTGGGCATGCAGTGCCTATTTCACCTCTATTACATTTGCAAGGGCCGAAGTTGTTGGGGCCTCCCCTATGCATATGATTGTGTCATGTAATGACCAAGATGCCCATCCTTCCAGTCTCAAGAAACTTACAGTTCAATTAAACAATGTAAGGGAGGGTGGTGATAAATTATACCAACTGTAAGATGCTAATGAGAGCCACTGTAGATATTCTTGCTCAAGGCCACACAACTACAAAGAGAGTTTCCATAAAGGAATCTTCTTGCCCATTTCTATCTCACCCCTCCATATTCTAGTGCACATTTTCAGAGTACCAAATAGTGATTAAGACTGCATTTGCCACTGCTGCCTGGCATTTAGCCGAACCTCTGTGAAGAGTGTTTACATGCCGAGAACACACATGACATCTTTCCTTCAACCTTATGGGGCTGTAATCATAATTAAATGAGATAAAGCCTGTACAGCGCTTATTATAGTACCAGAAATGCAATTATTATTGTTAGCACATACCTGCTAAACTTTTGCTAATGCTGAAGATAATGTTTAAGTGATAATAGAAAGAACTTGGAAGGATAGAAGAAAAATGAAAGAGGAGGAGAATTAAAAATACATATTTTGATTATTTCATCTATAAAGCTATATCTTCTTTGTGTATTGTATCAATCAAGTGTTTACTAAACATCTTTGGAAATGATGGAGATGATGTGTAAGACACAGACCCTGACCTTGAGCTCTGCTTTAGGAAGAGTAATTCAGATGTTCATGTAAGATAGATGAGAAACATGGCTTGGGCTAAAGGCAGAAACTTGGCATGCAATGTCTGTAGTAGTTGAGGTGAGAAATTGGGACTAAAGGAGGACAATCACTGGAAGAATGGTGAAGGAAAAAACACAGGGTTGTTTTGAAGAAAAACATTATAGGGGTTTGGTGGCAAATTTTCATTACTTAATAACTTCATTTATTCAGTTTCTTTTCCCGAGTGTTTTCCTCTAGGCTCTTCCACATCCACTGGAAATATAAGGATATGGGCACCATGAAAAGAAACATTGGTTTTGTGTCTCCCAGGAGCCAGTCAGAGTATTAGGAATTCTATATGTATCATTGTGTTTAATATTCAGAATACCCCTGTAATAAGTATTGTCATTCTCATCTCTAGTTATGGAGACTGGAGCTCAGAGGCGAAGGGTAAACAGCTTGCTCAAGCCACACAGCTAGGCTGAGCTGTGGCTAAAACTCCACGTTTGTGGATTCTAAGCCTTTTCTCTTTCTACTACATCAGGGATGACTGGGGCATGGTTTATATCACTGAGGGCATCGGAGTCTAGTGAGCTGCAAGTGGGGACAGACTTGATGGAAGGCTGTAACACTCAGAGCACACTCAGAGCTTCTGGAAATGGAAGGAAGAGGAGAAGGAGGAGGAAAATCTCAAGGTGTTTAAACAGTTGATTCTGAAGAATTTTCTTGCTACCAACACTGTGAAAAGGCATGGAGGCCATTTGGGAAGTGTTCTGAGGATCTGGGTTTTCTCATCTGCCAGGAGTATTAGACTAAGTGTTCCCCAAAGTCCTTTCCATCTCGAATCCAGAGGAAACACATGGGGAAAATGAATTCCAGTGGGCTGATTAACAATGAGAAGTAAATAGGGAGAGATTCAGCTCATTTTTTTGGTCTTTTTTCTTTTCCTCATTAGATGTTTCTTCCATTGCTTTCCTGTTCATTTCTAAAGTACAAGACACAGAATCAAAAGGTTGAGGTCCTAGAAGGATATCTGTGGGGAATCTCAGGGGGAAACCAGATGGGAAGTTGGGACAAGGCCTTCTTCTTTGGGTCCCATGACATCATTCACATTTCCTTAGAGCTTGAGGAATAGGATGCCCCATTATTGAGACAGAGAGAGGCATGGTTGTAGAAGACAGAATGCTCATGTGTATAAGTCTATTTGTGCTGCTATAACAAAATACCAGATACTGGGTAATTTACAAACAATAGACATTTGTTTCTCACAGCTCTGGATGCTGGGAAGTCCAAGGTCAAAGCTCCGGCAGGTGTCTGGAGAAGGTTCGTTTCTCATAGATGGTGCCGTCTAGGTGTCCTCACATGGTGGAAGGGATAGGAGAGCAAAAAGGGCCTAAGAAAGCTTCCTCCAGCCCTTTTCTAAGGCATTAATTTTATTCAAGAGGGTAGAGCTCTCATGGTTTAATTACCTCCCAAAGGACATACCTGTTAATGGTACTGCATTGAGGATTAGGCTTCAAGATAAATTTTGGAGGGGACACAAACATTCAGACCATGGCACCATGGACAAAGGCTGGCAGCCTGGCCCTCTGCTCTCACACTAGGAATGAGAATGAATGAGCCATGATATGGCACTGGGGATGGAGTTGGGTGTGAAGAAGCACGCTTTCTCACAGCTGACACTCTGTGCCTTTCAGCCAGCACTCAGTGTTGGTGAATGGGGAAGCTGAGCGCCGTGCCATAGCCAGAGGCTGAGCTGTTATACACGTCTGGGCAAAAGCAAAATTGGGACATAGAATGGACTTCTGTTGAGGCAGGATTTTCAAAGAGTTCAGTGCCTACACTGGTGGTTTCTGTTGGCACAGATGAGGTCTGCTCAGTTGAAACTGAACATCTCCATCAACTCCCTTTCCTCCTACCTGCTTTCTTGGTCTCTCTCTTTCCTTATACTTTATTGAACAATATCAAGAAATAGTACTTTTTTGACGCAATTTCCAGTGAAAATAACATTAGACTCTTGGCAGTGGTGTGCTAACAGCCAGTTCCCAAGTTGATTTTTAAACTTTTAGAAATTTTCTGAGCTGGTTGTTAAACACGGCCATTACGAAAAATTGAATTATATAACTTATAATGCAATAATAGTGAGATGAACAGTAATAAATATTCAAAATCACCACTTTCTAATTCAAAAGCACCACAGTTTGCTATTATCTAAACTGCAGATGAAATTGAAAAGATAAATGCACACCATGATATAGTATTTTCACCATCCAGATACAGTGATATAAGTAATCTCATGTTCAGTGAAATTACCTTGGTAGCTTTAAATGGTCATTGTTGGAAGTATTTACACCATGAAAATAAGCAAAGCTTACAAATCAGGGCTCAATTTATTGATTTGTTAGTTACTTATATGTAAAAGAGTGATGGATAAAATGTTAATAAAGGCAAATTAAACTTAAAAGTGTGTTATGTTTTTATTGGTTACATTGTGAATAACATAAAACATTTTTGAGAAAATATTGTTTCACTATTCCAAAATAATTCTCTGGGTCAGCAAAAGATTTGCTCATGTCATTGAGGAACACATGAGATTCAAACATACATCTTCATTATTTCACTTTCGTCTTAACTAAAATGAGAATACCAACTAATATTCATGTCTAAACTACATGCATTATCAATAGCCATCACAGATTGGCAACAAATATAAGAGTTTGGCAAAAATCAATGAAAGCAATTGACTTCTATTAGAATAAATTGGTTATATGGAATTTAGAATGAAGAAAATTAGTTTATTATTTTTAAATTATTGTATACATACTTTACTTTAGTAAATTCATATTCAATTTATCTATCTATCTATATGCAAGTTATAAAAATATATGCATATACATTTTTCCTGGAGAGCTGGTGGCATATATTTAGCATACCACCGGCTCTTGGGGTCATAATTTGCCTAATAGGAAATGTGACTTATAATGCAATAATAGTGAAATCCAAAGCAATAAATTATGTACATGGAGGCATGTACATAATGTCACTGTTGGTGACATTGGGCTCAGACAGCTTTGGGCGCAGGGTAGATGCTATAGTTAAGTGATTTAAAGACTGCGTGTCAAGATTCCATAATGTTATAAGGTTATTTTAAAGTACTCATTCTTTTCACCAATGCTGTTTTTTTTTTAAATCACTTCCTAACACAGCTTTCATTCCTTATCTCCAAACAAAAATTACTGACTACTGCCTTTGGCATTGAGGGCTCCTAGCAAGGCAGAAGCATGGCACAAGTTGGCAGTATTGTGCTTAAGCCATGGGGTAGAGCTCAGAAAGGAACAGGCAGGCTGACAGAAGTGCCCTCTATGTCAAGCTCTGACTTTCTCACTTGAAAGTTTGGGTGTCTGAGGCATGAGGCCCTAGGCTAGGACAAGCGGGTGGACATTTTGAAAGGCTAGGATCCTGGCAGCCCACTTACACCAACCTATTTTACTTCTAAGTGGTGCACATTAATCACTCCAGAAATGCAAAGGTGACAATGAGTCAAAGTTTAAGACTGATGGCGCAAAAGTTGCCACTAAGTATTAAGAGAGTGCTCTATGCCTAACACAGTGCTTGGGGCTTCATATACATTAATTTTCACCTTTAAAAAGTCCTCTGCAGCCATTATTGTTTCCTGACTTTATTTTACAGATAAGTAAACTGAGGGGCAAAGGTGTCAAGTGACTTTTGTTTTGTTTTGTTTTTTTGAGTCAGAGTCTTGCTCTGTCTTCTAGGCTGAAGTGCAGTGACCTCAGCTCACTGCAACCTCCACCTCCTGGGTTCAAGTGATTCTCTTGCCTCAGCCACCTGAGTACCTGGGATTTCTGGTGCCCACCACCATGCCCAGTTAATTTTTTGTATGTTTCGTAGAGATGGGGGTTTTACCATGTTGGCCAGGCTGGTCTCGAACGCCTGATCTCAAGTGATCCGCCCACCTCGGCCTCCCAAAGTGCTGGGATTATAGGCATGAGCCATCGCACTGGACCTTAAGTAACTTTTAATAACCAGCGTTTGTCAGATCCAACTGTTAGCTGTCCTTCTTTTAGTAACCTCTGTGATCCTGTCTTTTTGCTACTGTAGCACTGTGCGAGAGGTAGCACCTGAGAACTGGTACCCGAAGAGCGGAGGAGGCGCGTGTGCAACCATTGCCCGGGATCAGTATGTGCATTTAAAGGTGAAGACCAGAGTCAGCACAGCTAGAGGCTCTCCTCAAGCATCAGAATGACACAAAGAGCCTCCAGAAAGATACATTTTCCAGCAGGCCTCCCTGTCAGTACAGAAACAAAATGCATTAGCAAGAAGCTCACATGGCCTGAATTTGCTGAGATTGACAAGGCGGGTGTGCGGTGTTCTGAGGCTGCCCAAACAATGTTCTGCAGCACTGGCTGGAATTCTAGGTGGCTTCCCAGTTTATATATTCAGTGAATTCTTAAGGGACAAGAATAGCAGTAAAAATAATAATAGCAAATATTTATGTAGTGTCAACATGTGGCAGGCACTGTTCTAAGTACTTTACAAATATTAAACTAGTAATGTTATCCTCAAAATAACCCTCTGACATAGGTCACTGTGACAAAGGCTGCTGCCTGGTTTTTGTAGTCCATCGATGTCTTCTTCCTGGGCTCACAGCCAAGGCTCCATATCCCAGCCTACCCCTGGGTTGAGGGAGGGTGTCATGAGACTTGGTGCTGGCCAATGGAATGGGAGTGGAAAGTACAGGTGCCTCCCTGAAGTCACAGGCCTTAAAGCTCCCACGAGCTCCCCTCCATACTCCTCTCCCTCAGGGCCTCTTTAGAAATCAAGTGTTACAGCTGACAACAACTGCCAGCCTGAGTCCCCTGAATTACGGGAACAGAATCCTCTGCTCATCTGAAACTACCCTGGCCTATTTTATGAATAAGACATAAACTTCTTTTATGTTGAGATAATCATGCTTGAATTTTCTTGTAACTACCACCTCGCCCACTCGAGCCAAATTTTATACTATTACTGTTATCATCCTACAGATGAGCAAACTGAGGCACTGGTAACTTGCCCAAGGTCACACCTAGAACGTGATGCAGCTGGAATGTATGCAGGCTCTCCGGCCCCAGAGTACATGTCCTTCACCATTACACTATTTCCCCCTATGGGATGGAACAAAGTGGTCTTCCAGCCTGTCTGTAAGCACATAGGCTGTGGGAGTGGGCTGGAGGGGACACTGGCCTCCAGATGGCCTCATGCCCTTCATGCGTCTAGCTTGCATGGAGGGGTAACCCAATAGCTAAGGAGAAAAGGCTTCTCCCAGACCCTTCTACCAGGTAGTCACATGGGGTGGAAACAGGATCCATATTTCCTGATTCCCAAGTCTCTCTGCTGCATTACTTAGCAACTAAACATAATGTAGCAATACATATTACTACAAATCTCCCTGAAATCTAGCAATATACCTTTTTTTAATCTCCATTTTTACAGATGGGGGAATTCAGCCTTGGGGAAGTGAATTAACCTGCCCAGTGTCTCTCAGTTAGCAAGTGGGGTAGAGCTAAGGTTCGCATCTAGTTTGGCTCAGAGCTTTCTGTTAACCGGCATCCAATCCTGTTTCACCTGAGAGGAGCAATGTGGAGTGAGAGCTGGGAATACCCACCCTGTAGACTCAGTCTCAGAACAAGGGTGAAAAGGGCTTTAAAATCACTCGCCCTCACTTGGCGGAATAACAATGCTCACAGCAGCCGTGTGGTTCTCAGGGCATTTCCCCAAGCTTTCTTTATCCTCCCTGGAGTTTCTCCTCTCACCAGCCGCTCTATCTGGGCACGGGCCTCTGAAGCTCCTGTCTGTCTGGCCGGTCCACTGGGCCCCCTTCAGAGGAAAGGCTGCTCTCATTCCTCAGGGATGTCCCAGAGCCTGGCGCCGCTGCTGGGCATGAGCAGGAGGGCGGGAACGATTTGCTGAGTGAGGAAGTCAACAAGGCGGGGCGGGCATCATCATGCCCACTTTGCAGGTGGGGAGACTGACGCTCTGGGCGCTGGAGGGACCCCTCAGATCGCCACAGCTGCTTCTTCCCCCAGGCGCTGGGCTTGTCCCTTGCAGCACAGAATCTCTGGGTCAGTAATCATGCAAAGGGTGAAAGCCAGAGGAACCTGGGTTAGCAAGTGACACGAAGGGACTTTCCAGGATCCCCCCACCGCGAGGCCTGGCACGAAGGAGGGCTCACAGTCCGGCTCCCAGAGCCCTGCAAGTCGGGCGCGCTCAGCCCACCTGCTCCCTGCATTGGTGGTGGCGGGCGGCCCGCACTCCCCGCGCCCCAGGCCCGCCCGCTCCCGCCCGGCTCGGCGCTCCCTCGGCTGAGCAGCTAGGCTCTGCATTGCAGGGGTCCCACCGGGCCGCAGGGTAGCCTCGCCCCCGCCGCTCCTTCCTTTGTCCCTGCCCCGCCGCTGCGGCGTCTGCGGCTTCTGCGGCCGCCTGGGAGCGGGCATGGGTGGGCGGGGCCCGTGGCGGCGCTGCCCGGTGCACCAGCACCATCTAGGGGCGCTACGACAGCAGGAAGGGCGCTCCGCTGGCATCCGTGGGTCGCCGCCTGGCCCTGGGCAAATTTTCCCAAACTCCGGCCTCGGTTTCCCGGGTTACCGTGGAGGCGACAAGCGGGTCCACTCCTATCAGGTGTCCTCACTGGTACAGTCGTAATCCCTTAATGAAGGGGATTGATCGTCTCCACAGCCGCTAATAGGCAAGGAGGGAAACTGAGGCTCTGAGGGGTTAAGTAACTTGTCCCAGGGGATATAGTTCTGGGGACAGAACCAAGAATCAAAACCAGGTGCATTTGAGCTCCTAATCTGTGCGTGGAACCCCTTGGCTGTGCGGCGTGGAAGAGGGCAGTTTCTCCTGATATGCCACATGCAGTGGGACAGCTTGTCCTGCTCCTTGTCCTCTGCTAGCTACTTTCTGTATGATCAAGTCATGTGACCGCTTTGAAACTCAGCTGTGTCACTCACTTTACCTTAGGGATCATCCCAAGGCCTTCCTTCTTCCCGGCTCTCAGGGAGGCAGGTCTCAACCATGAAAAGGTTTCAGAGGATGGGAGCCACAGTGAGAATCAAGAGGGAAGGGCCTCTGAAGACAGAGCTAGCTCCATAAACCTGTCCAATTATCACCCTTACAAGCGCAGAGCTCCAGAACCCCCAGGCAGAGGCAAATTTCCCTTAGACCCCGGCTTTGAGGCTTGCAGCCCATGTTATTATCTCCATTTTACAGCTGAGAAAATTGAGGCACAAAGAGACTTGGGCACTTTCTCAGAGTTGCAGTCCTGGGTGAAATGTGCTCAGGGCTCCCTCTCCTGGGCTGGGGGGCTCCCTCAGGAGATCCCGGATGGTCTGAAGCACAAGGTTTACTGAGCCCCAGTGGAGGGTGCAGCCCTGAAGAAGAAAGTGGGAGGGTTTGGTCTGGAAAAGAGAAGACCTTGAGAAACTCAAAGGCTATCTCTAAATCACAGGGGCCTAACACATGAATGAGTAGGCAGAAGTACAGGGCAAAGAAGGGATATATGGGGAGAGGGTAGAGTGGTTGGGTTTTAGCAAAAGGAGCAACAGAAACAGACTGTTGAAGAAGCCCTGCTGCCACATGGCATGACAGATAACCTGCTCCCCAAAGCTACCCTGCGTCCATCGTCTTCTGAAGGCTGCCCGGCTGCTCCTGGCATCCCTGGCCTCCTTGTGTGCCTTCCTCTCAAAGATATCCTGATAGTCAACCTGTGGCTGCCAAGACCTGTGGGAATATTTTTGCATCCCTGCCTTGCAAAGCCAGATGATTTTGATGAGCCGTGTAACTCAGGCTTCCTTGGGAAATGCTGGGCCAGTCATGGGTACACCTTTCTGTGACTCTCATCAGCTCTGAATAATCCCCATCACTTCAGGTAAATAAAGGAAGTTCATCTCTTACAACCCAACAGTAATTAATAGAGTCCGCATCCATTTGCTCATCCTAGAACAACTTCCTAGGGATTAGACGTGTTCCTCAGGCACTATAAGCCTCTTGAGATCTCAGATAGTTCTGTCCACTGTCTGTGTTGCAAACCCTACTCCTACCCCAACATACTCCTATCTCAACAAAGAGAGAGTTTCCTAGAAATGCTTTTGAAGTGACAGCAGTGTTTCCATGGGGCATCAAGCCTTCCTTCCATCTATGTCACTTCAGGAGCTTAAGGCCACAAACATTGGCTGATGACATACTATGTGCCAGGTATTCTGCCAGACCCAGATGATACACTGACAAATTGTCTCAACACACCTGTATAGGCAGATTGAATGAATCCTATTATGCATCAGACTGGTAGGGACTATTTCACCTGCTTGGGAATATATGAAAAGGTGTCTAATTTTTCCAGTTAATCATCCAAAGTCCATTCGCCCACTTAGCGGGAAGTTTTTTCTTTCTCAAAATCAACCCCTGTCCCACCTCCAGTTGTCCAACAACCTCTCAAAAACCTTTAGGTCTTGCTCAGGACAAAGGGATTATTAGTTCTGCTTCCAAATGCCAGATGAAAGAGAGAGCTGGAGTCTGGTCAGCACTATAGTGGACTTCTATGGAAAACTGGCTCTGGAGAGACTGACGAGTCCACTGTGTGGTGCTCTTATTGGCCTGGCCCTGCAAGATCACAGTGCTCCCAAGCTTACAGCTTTTGCAGTTTCTACTGATACATTCAGTCATTGAGCTAAACGCTGTCTCCTGGGCCACCAAGGCTGAGTCTGCTGGGGCGCCATCCATCCATCCTCAGCCACAAGTGCTACAAGATCCCACCTTTCCCTCACAATGCACCTGGCCTTCTGCCTGGACCACCAAGATCCTCTGCCCTCCTGATAGTAAGGGCTGTCTCATATCCTCAAAGAGGATCCAGTAACAGTAAACCTTAGAATAGGAGTGAGGAGCCTTTCCTTTAAGAAGGCTGTCTTATCAGAATCCTTTGTGGAAAAGGCTCCTCACTCCTCTTCTGAGGTTTACTATTACTGGAGTTAGGAACTTTTCTTTCCAGAAGGTTGCTTGGCCCTTGTGAAAATGTGTCCACTATTTGTTCTTTTTTTAATTAATCAACTCTTCTCACCAAAGTGTCAGGAAGGGCCAGCTTTGATAGGCCAGAAAAAAAATCCCAAACTTCCTTCTTAGAGAGCAATCGATGACAACTTTCCTATCATTTTACCTAACCAAGGGAAGCCAGTTGGTCAACCTAGCAGAGAAGATCCCTGGGCCATCTAGATAGAGAAAACCTGCCATTCCTCTCACTAAAACAAATAAACAAAGAATGAACCTTGCTTTCCCAGATACTCTGTCACCATAGAGAGGGAAACTGCCAGAGGCCAGGCTAAGAGCCTTGCACAAGGTCACACAACCACCATAGGGTGAAAGAACCGGGATTCCAATCCAGCTCTGCCTCGCTCTAAGATCTGTTTGTCCCATTATTCTTCTTTCTGGTGGGGGTATTTCTCTGTTTCAAGTTTGAGCCGTACTTGCAACCTGTGGGAGATCTGGCATTTTTACTTCCAGTACTGCTTAAAGGACAGCTCCTTTCCCTGCCATATCCCCATCGCCCCTCTCCTCTTCCCCCAACCCCAAATGCCCAAACTCTGGTAAAAGTGTGTTAGAGCCAATGGGTCTGTTTTTGCTCCCTGATCCCCAAGCTAAGTCTGTGGTCTCCGGTGGGCATTACATCACACTATCTGGTTAGGTATACCCATATGGTGCCCTTTGTCAGACCTGGGCCAGTGCCATAGGTTCTCCAGTGAAGGCGATGAGACCCTGGTTTTCTCTGGACTGACAGATTCAATGGGAAAACTTGTCTCATCTCTTCTTCAGAGGACAACCACATCCCTGTGTGATGAATGGGCAAAGTGTGCTGGGCCTTGCCAAAAAGCCAGGACCCAGTAGAGGCCGAGGGCCATCAATTTTCAGAGCTAGATGAACTCCAAAAGGCATTTAGATCATCCTTTCCATTATACAGTTAAAGAGACAGGGCCAGGAAGGGAGGATGATTTTCCATGGCCAGCCAGAAATGTTGATGGAACTAGGACTAGAAAAAAGAGATTATATACATGACAGAGCCTCTTTGATTAAGTATTGCCTTCTCCAGATATTGTCTTTTAAACACGTTATCACCAAGAAGTAGGTAGACCACAAATTGACATCACAAATTTGTAAATAAGGAGACTGGGGCCCAGGTAGTTGAAATATCTTAGTCAGGGTCACTTGGTTGGGAGTGGAGCCAGCATTAGGATCCAGATCTCTTAACAGGGAGTTGTGTATTCCCAGTGATTTTTCTGGCCAGGAGTGAAGTGCTAAAATTTTCAACCTTGCAGGTGAGGCTGCTTTCCAATTCTTTCTTTCTGGGAAAAAAACCATGACATCTGGGTACTACTTCAAAGGAGCTTAGACCTCTGGGCACTGGCTCAGCAAGAACCCAACTTGCCCCACACCTCATACCCACTTGCCTTTTCATGATAAATTATGGCAAGGGAAAAAGGACTCAGGTTTGGTGTTATAAAGACTTCAATTAAAACACTAACTCCATATTTACCACTCACATTGTCTTAGCCATAATTCTTCAAACCACAGTGTTGTTTTCAGTTGACAGTAGGAAAACATGTAAGTCCAAACTTAAGATGGTTCTCAGCAATAAAGGCTGCCACCTTGTCCTGGCTGCAGCTGTTGCCATTGATCCCTGAGGCCCTCCAGACTGTGAGCAACCTGGATGCGATGCCTAAGTGGAGGGGAGAGTACCCACGGGATGCTCGTCTGTCACTCAGAAACACTTTTTTTTTTTAAAGAACAAATAAACGCATTTTTCACACCTTCATCAATACAAGGATTGAATCTGTTCATGAAGAGGAAAGACCTCAGAGAGCTGCTTCAACAGAGTTTTCAGGCTGGGCACAAGGTCAACAGAATTGCTTTCCTTTAGTCCCCAGGTTATTATTACCAATGCAATTGCTTTAAATACTTCCTACTATCTACATGTCATGGAAAAGATCCTCTCTATTCTTAATGCATCAGTTTGTTCACCTGCTATGCAGTTGAAACTGAGGATGTCAGACCTAAGTATAGCTTTAGGGTTCAAGTAGCAAAGCCTCCTCATCTGAGGAGATAATTCAGGAATAGAAAACCAAACATCATATGTTCTCACTCATAAGCGGGAGCTAAGCTACCAGGACGCAAAGGCATAAGTATGATACGATGGACTTTGGAGGCTTGGGGGAAAGGGTGGGAGGGGGTGAAGGATAAGACTACATATTAGGTATAGTGTAGACTGCTCAGGTGAGGAGTGCATCAAAATATCAGAAATCATCGCTAAAGAACTTACGCATGTAACAAAACACCACCTGTTTTCCCAAAACCTATTGAAATAAGAAATAAAAATGAATAAAAATTAAAAAAAGGTGAGCTCAGACCTTTATCTTAAACCATGCACAAAACTTAACTCTAAATGGATCATAGAATTAAAGGTAAGAGCTAAAGCAATAAAAACTTTTAGAAGAAAACATAAAAGAAAATATTTGAGACCTTGGGTTCCATACAGATTTCTTAGATACTACACCAAAAGCACAGTTCATAGAAGAAAAAAACCTGATAAATTAACGCAATCAAAGTTAAACACTTTTGCACTTCAAAAAAAATTCTAAGAAAATGAAAAATAAAAGCAACATACTGGGAGATGTTTGCAAAATATATATCAAATAAAAGACTTATCTAGAATTTACAAAGAACTTTAACAATTTAATAATATAAGACAAATAATATAACTTAAAAAGGGCAAAAGATATGAATAGACATGTCATCAAAGAGGATATGATGAATAGTAAATAAACACAGGAAAAGTACTCAGCATCATTCACCATTTGACGAATGCAGATTAAAACCGCAATGAGACACCACTACACACCCATGAGAATGGCTGCAATAAGTAACATAGGTGATGAGAAGGTGTAAGGCAGATTAGAAGGAAGAACCATACTACTTTAGCTTGGAGAAGAAAACTAGGATGAGGCAAACAAGTGATTGCAAACCAGTGATTAATAACAAAGGAACTACATTGTGCTTATTTTTTTAACCTTGCACTGTAAAGTATCTTCATAAATGAGAAGTTTTAAAAAGTGTTATGCCTAGCTAGTTAAAAATATTCCACTTTTTTGCAGGAAAGATTAGTGTAAATTCTTTTATTCTGATTTAATCTCAAATTAAAGCATGAGCCTTGCAGTTTATAAGGCATATAAGCCAATTAAGATTGGTGGCTGCTTCTCTGTATAGAGCTTGCAAAGATAAGTACCTAATTTAATTACAGAAATGATTTTAATTTATTAAATACCTGAAAGTATGATTTTTTAATAGGAATGGAAGGCAGACTGCACTATATATGAAATATACTAGGCAAGGTCTGCCCTATGCTGAGTTAAACTAATCAGAGAAGAATAATTAGCAAAGTCATTTGTTGAGACTTTATTTATGTTCCTTTGGGAAGGGTCATCCTTTCTTAATTCTACTAGAGCTTTTGATGTCCTGATCCTAGGTGTCAGTACAAGAAAGTCTTGGCTGAGCCTTGGTCCTGTTTGAGCAAGGCAGGATGTGTGAACTTCAAACACACATGTGTCCTGTCATCTTAGTCCCTTCATTGATTGTCCAGAAGTGAGTTTAATGAAGACAGAATGTCTCCTATAAACAAATCATTATCCCTGATCAAGGAAGTGTAAACAGAACCTGGCCTGGGAAACAGGCTCTTTGTCTCTCCCTACCACAGACATGTAAAATGCCTGAGCTCTGGGAATTTGCTAGAATCTGGAGTCAATAATGAAACTTCCTGGAGCATAGGGGGAAGACCCAAAAACCAGAGATGCTGGGAGCTCCAACAGTATCTTTGACATCAGATCTTATTCTAAAAATTGTAAAGATGGAATTAAAACAGCAATAGGCAAGCTTTATTTTCTTAATATGATATATAACTATATTATATATTACAAATTTTATAAGACATATAAGACATATGAGATAAAATTGAAGGTTTATCTTAATTACATAACAAAACATTTTCTACAACAATATTTTAAATAACAAGACCTAGAGATTGCAGAGTAGGATTCAATTTTCTTACCAAAAAAATTTAACATACTTTTCCTATTCCCTTAGACAAATCATCAGAACCACTTGATTCTTCATTTTAGATCTAGTCTCTACTGACTTTATAAGATTTATTTAGTTCCTTTTTTTGACAAAGGTAAAACTTCTTGGACGATTATTAAGGTGCCAGATAAATAGAAGGGGTTATATTTACACAATTGGCAATGTCTAGCATATAGTAGATCCCCAGTAGGAGGTTGCTTTTGTAACTGTTATTATAATGATCACGAACGCCATCATTCTCACCATTTAATTACTTGTGCGTAAAGTGAAGGATGTAAGTATGTTCTAACTAATAATGCAATAACGGATCCCTCTTATTGATTATAAACTATGTGCCAAGTCTCTTTTTAGGTGCTTTACATACAAATTAGCATGTTAGTTTTCCCAAGAACATGGAGAGAACATTATTACCATCATTTTACTGGGGCTCAGAAAAGTCAGGCATCTTGTACACAGTCCAGGGGATCTGTCTGGGAGAGCCTTCAAACCCAGGTCTGTCTGACTCTGTATACCCTGCTTTTTCTATTATCCCAAGCTGCCTGTTTTGGAGAGATGAACAACACATTTTAGAATGATTTCAAATTGTTTCCCCACTCCAAATGTATGTCAGTAACACCAATGGTAAAACCACCTGAAATATTGGACGAACCTTTTTGCTGAAAGATAATGTAAGCCCAGGGAAGCCTTTTGGGAAGCTCACAATCTTCCTTTCCATTTCATCACCCTCATTGTCCTGCTCACAGTCATTCTCACACATTGACTCCAGCAGTATTTCCCTAACACTGATGGGTCCCAGCCTCTCCTGAGCATTTTACATAGTAAACCTTCCTTCCCACCCTAGACCTGCCCATCAATCGCCTGAAAACAGCCTTGTGGATTCAGGCTCTCCCTGAAGTAGTAAATAGCCAGGACCAGGGGCGGGATCTTGCAGCCAAGCTTTCTGTGTGTCCTGCATTTCCCACCCAAACTCAGGGAGTGGCTGCATACAGTTCACATTCAGCAAATCGCCCTTTAGATACACATGAACATCCCCAATAATGAGAAGCTCCCTACCCCCTAAGAAAGCCCATTCCATGACTGAAAAGCTGTGGTGATGGGGAAGCTGGACATGAGCATTCCTATTTTTTAAAAAATTAAGGGAACACAAATTGGTGTACGATTTTTGGAGGACCATTTGTCAATTTGCATCAGGAACTTTAAAATTGTTCTTACGTTTCAATCAGCTAATTCTGCTAGTTCAATAAGCTAATTCTGTTCTTTGAAATTTATGCTACCAAGAGAATCCAAAACAGCGGGGGAAAATGTTATATTTTTGGATGTTAAAATTGCAATAGTATTTATAATAGCTTACATATTACTGAATACATGTATAATTAAATATTTTAGTTGTCCTAATTCTTGCATAGACAACATGTGTATAGACACTGAAAGAAGACTTTCTAAAGTACTGTTTTTTCACCTTAACTCTCCACTAGAATGCCCTGGATAAATTAAATGAAAAACTCAGGATAAAAGGGGTATCAGTATTTGTTCAAACTGCCCAGGTGATTCTGATGTGCAGCCAAGGTTAGGTGCTATTGTTCTAGAAGGAGTTTTACAGTCATCAAAATGGCTCATTTAAATGGATCTAGCTCATATTCTCCAAAAACGGAAGCAAGAGGACAAGCACTCCAGCTTCTTGATATGGGACTGTCTGGAGCAATGATTGTTAGGCACTGCTACTCCCATGGCTAAGAGACTCAGTGCTTGGACCTACCCATGACATGCTGCTCACCCCAGCCCATCCAAGTTCCCTCATACTGCTCACAGAGATGAGGTATGCTGGCCCTGCTGGGAAGCCCAGATAGTTTTGAAGAGAGGAGGTTCAAACGTGACTCACAGACTGGGTCTCTTTAACTTGCCAAGCAATTCTTCGTATGTCGCTTCCAAACTTGGGGCCTCTATTTTCTTTGTAAGATGAAGATATCTCCTGCCTCACCGGAGTGCTGCACGGTTTGGATCAGAATGTAGATGGAACCACTTGTGCCCTGCACACAATAAATTGCCTCTGCGCACTGGAAGTTGGCTGAGTGAGGAGACAGTGCTTGATGTTGCATCAGAGTGTGGGAAGCCGAGAGGACCACTCTGAGGAGCCCAGGATGTGCAAGCTCATCTGAGTGGTCTTTCTGAGACCAGACCCTTCATCCTACTTAACTGTGAGGACCTGAATCTGGTCATTTCCTCCCAATAGTGTTCCTCCCTCTGGTGGTTTCTGTCCCAATCAGCCAGCCTTCTTTGTCCCTCATTGTCACCTGCATTCCCTACAGGTATTGACTTCTCTGTTAAATTACATTCAGGGGATCAAAATTCCCAGTTTTATTCCCTCTGCTTATGTTTCTGGCACAAAGTGAGAAAAGCATCAGAAAATAAATTCAACCAGTTCTCTTTATATGTCTATATTTTTTTCTGGAAACAGCTCTTCTTGTCCCACATCACAGTTGGAGGCATAATTCACAGTTTCTGTTCCTTCAGCTTCTGGGCCTTCAAAGAGGCAGGGTAAAGCCAAAGTGAGATATCTGGGAGTGTGTCTCTGAGAACCAGCATCTAGATCATTCTGGATCTGGTGCATCTGTTTGTTTGTTCACTTATTGAAAATAAAAGCACATTGTTGGTGTACTGTGTGGTTTCTAGTATAGAGCAGCATTCTTGGATGGGCATTTGTCTGGAGGCAGAGCACAGACAATTGGGAAATAGAAGGCAAAATTCATCCAGAATTCAGCCATTCCTCACTACTCCTGCCATGATCTCCCCAGTCCAAGTTGCCATCATTTCTTACCTGGATGACTGTGGTAGCTTCCTAAGGGCTCTCCCCATTTTCCTTCTTTTCCCCTGCCCCACCTCACAGGCTAGTCTCAAATAAGTCAGCATGTTCTTTTGAAAAGGTAATTTATACTATGTCATTCCTCTGTTCAAAACTCTACAGTGACTTACCATTTCACTCAGGGAACTCAGAGTCCCAATCCAGTAAGGCACTGCTGGCTCTGCCATGGCCCAGACCCCACTCCTAGCTCTCCAGTTTCCTGCTCTCTGCCCATCTTATTCCAGCCACACAGCCTCCTTGTTCCAACACTACAGTTGGAGTACTCCTGCCGCAGGGCTTTGGAGGTACCTCTGCTCTCCCTCCACTTCACTTGTTGCTTGCAGTTCTAACCCAAGGCACTTTATTTTGCAGCCCATTTAAGAATGTTGAGTGAGCTGCAGCCTTAGTACAGGAGACAACAGGGAGGTCTGGAAGTTAGACATGTTAAGAAACACTAGTCTGTTCATTAAGGATTTCCTCGTCTGCTTCTACCTGAAGCCGAACATCTGGATGAAATACGCAAAAGCCAGCTTACATATTTGGGTGTTCTTCACATGGCAGTGTTTGCCAGAAGAATGCAGACCATCTGGTGACTGTTGCAGTTTTCACTTTTTATCCTTGGGTTAAGGTTCAGTTACTTTAAATTCAAGAAACATTTGTTTACACCAACATTTTACTAGAGCCTGTGTTGGTGGCAGGGGATACAGAGATTAATGATTCTCACCGTAGAAGAACTTGAAAGCTAGAGGAATGAGTTGCAAGGTCACAGGTAATTCTACCCAAGGCAAAAAGTGCCAGGTGAAGGCTCTAGATCCAGGGGTTGTCTCACAGAGGGGTTCCCAATAGCCAGTCATAGGCAGCTAGGGAGCTGGAGCTTGAGAAGTTGTAGTCTAGTAAGGCAATGGGACAGAATCTAAAGCTCAGTTGATTAGTCTCCAGGGTGGGGGCAAAAATCTTGGGCTATCCAAAGCTAGGGTGGACAGTAAAAAGAATTTGAGGTCCATGATATTGGGGCAATGCTATACTTATCCTCCAATGAGAATATGTGCATGTAAGTAAAAAAAAAATCAGCTTAACCTATGGGCTAATCAAATATAGGACTTTTACCTCTTCTGAAAATGCTTTCTCTACTGGGTAAACATTTGTTGTCCACTCAAGACACAGCTTAACATCTGCCATTGTCCTAGAGAAGCTTTCTCTGACTGTGAGTACATCGACCACTTTGATCCCTCTGCAGCGACCTCTCAGCAACCTGAGCTCTGCCATAGTTTGCATCACCCCATACTCTGATGGTCTATACGCAGGACCTCACACAGACCAGAAGGAAGGGAACACATGCTCCTTTCCCTCCCTGGCCATTTTAAAGCCCACCATCCTTCATACTCCCATCTGGAGCTTTCTTCTGATGCTCTCTAGGGAGCAAGTTCTGAAGGGACAATTGAGAAAAGGACACAAGGACCCTGGATGGTTGGGGTGTGAGTGAGGGGAGAAAGGGGCATTTCCTGGGGGACAAACAGTGCCAAGCCCTTTGGCTTTCTTTTAACAGGGGACATAAGGGACCCAAGAGAGACGTTTTCAGACATGCCACATTCTTCCACGGATATGTCATGAAGCTGGATTTCAGGATATCTAGAAGAGCCTTTTCTCTTGTTGTTCCCCTTCTATTAAACCCATGTTGTTCTCTGCTTTTCTTCTTTTGTCTCCACCTTCTTTATTCCTCATCACTTTAACCCTGCCTTTCTTTTTATCTTCCTTTCTACCTACTCATTTGAATTCCTATGTCTTAAGAAGGCCTAGGTATCGCTTCTCAGCCTTTTGGCTAAGATCAGGTGAAGAAGGCCTAGGCTCCAACAGCCAAAGAGTAATGGAGAAAGAAGAGGGAATAGCATGACTGAGCTTACTACCACTCAGCATCGTGCTAAACGGTTTCCATACATGGTCTGATTTAATGCTTACAACTGTTCAGTCAGGCAGATTTCTTGTTTATACTTTTCAAATGAGAACTCCAAGGCTGAAGAAATTAAAGGATGTTTCCAAAATCACACACCTAGTGCGGAACAGTCATGTCATTCTTTGAGTGTCAACTGCATACTAGGTCCTGTGTAAGCCCAGGGGTACAAAAATAAATATGACATTTACCATCAAGGCCCCCTAACCTAGCAGCAGTGGAGCCCCCTGTGATTCTGCTGAGACTCTACTGTACCTTGCTGCCTGACACAATCAATTCACAATTCAGGGAGAAACATAGCAAGTGAAAGTCTATGGAGAGTTATAGAGGAAGCAAGAATGGGCAAATACTGAAATTGAGTGATTGATACCTGGAGGTTCACCATATTACTTTCCTTACCTAATTAACATCTGGAAAACTTCACATCACAGGCTTGTAATTGTGTCTTTTCTGAAATAGAGACACCCAAGTTTAAAATGGAGCACATCTTCTCAGTAATCAAGACTCCTAAAAACAAAAAATTTCAAAACAGATATGTCCTTATTGGGACTTGTTCTTGCTCTCCGGTTTACATAGGGTTTTACAGGCAAACATGGCCACTCAGAAAGGAGAACATATGCAACGAGCAACCCACACTCCATCTGCCATTAGACACAGAAGACAGGAGAGCCACATGGAATGAGAGACCTCTGTCCAACCGGGACATAATAAGATACTCAATCCTGTTTTTCAAGACTTCTGTGCATATATCACCAAAGACACTAGAAACAACTTACAGTACTCCAAGACACGTAGTCTTATAGGAAACCATTCTCCCTGACATTGGAGTCTCCACTTCTGAGAAGGAAATAGAATAATCAATTTCCTACAAGCTTGCTTTGTGCAGGGAAAATAGCTTGATTGAAAACTCAAACAGATGTTTCTACTTCGCGTCTGCTCTGAGCAGGCTTTTCTTCCTGGTCCTTTGAAATCTTTGGCTATGATGGCTACTGGTAGAATGGATCCATCTCTGCATAGAAGATGGCAACAGGCAGAGTCCTTTGCCGATGCCAGATCCCTTCCCACTCAAAACATTGCCATGTGACAATCTCAGAAAGCAGCTCCTCTGGTTCTGCCTGCACTGAGAATGTGGTTTTAGCTGCTGGCTGACATGGTGCTTCTGCTGCTGCACAATCTGGATGTTGAGACTGGCCTAATCCAGCTATTTAGGTGGGTCATTTATATCAGGCCACAGGGAATGGGGTGATGGTGCCAATCTATCATTCAGTGTTTTTCCCTGAGCACATCCTACATGCTGAGGCTTGTGCTAGGAGACTTCAGGAATCAAAGAGGAGCATGATTTAGTCCATCCACATGGCAGCTGGGGCAACAGAAAATAACATAACTCAAGCTACATGTTCAAAAGCTTGATCTGCTCCTTTTGTCCACAGCTCACTCCTGTTTCAGTGTGTGACCCTCCACTCCACCCACTCATACCAGAGACCTGGGATTCATTCTGGATCTTTTCCTGACTTTTCTCCCCACATATAATCAGTCATTAAGTCCTCCAGAGCTTTCTTCTGCATTCTGTGGGGCTGCCCCCACTCAGCCATTTCCTTCTCCCGCTCCCCTCCCAGGATGTCCCGCGCCATCTTTTCTTCATCTGAGGCTGGAGGAAGGTTCACGGCACTTTCCTTTTCAATGTTTCTCAGTGACTCCCCATGATCCTTCTGATCAAGCCTGTCCAGTCACCTAAAACTCAGATGCCCTCCATGCTGCACTCTCATGAGGCATCTCCCATTTCACGCCCTACTTCTGTCCTTTGGGAGTCAAACCAGGCTCTTGACTCCTTGCAGTATTCAACTCACATTTTCCTGATACCTCCTCTCACTTCCTGACTTTTATTCTGTCTGGAATATATCTTGCTTTGTCCAAATACTACTGCCTGTTCTTCATACCTTGCTCAGATACCACTCCTGTATGAAGCCTTCCTTGACCTGCCAGTCTAAAGGTGTCTTGTTTTTCTTTAAATCCCTTTAAGACTTCTGTTTGTAAAAGCATTGAGGTTAGAGGAGAAGTTTTATATAAAACAGGTTTGGCCTTGAAATTTGATTAAGCCACTAAATAACCAGGTACTCTTGAGTTAACATCTCAAGCCTCAGTTTTTAATTCTGTGAAAGGGAGAATGATCATACCACCTACTTTGTTGTAAAGATCAGAGCTAACGTATGCAAAGCAGTTCCACCATACACACGGTAGGTGCTTGATAGAGTAGGAATTGCTGTTATTATTTATGCCAGTATCCTGTACTGTCTGTGAGTTTGTTGGGTGTTGGCTGAGGCTCCTGCTCTCATCCATTTTACAGGGTGGCTGCCCAGGGCCTGCCTCTGGTGGGTGCTGGGGACAGCTGCATTTCCTGTGCTGGGGGAGAGCAAGGATCTGATCTGGGGCTGCTGAGGGCACAGAGCGGTCACAGAGAACAGCAGGCCCAAAACCCATATTATCAAAGGCCCGAGGCCCTGCAAGGACTGGCATGTTTCGTTCAAACAAAAGGAAGGGTTTCCTTGAAAATCCCACTCTTGCCTCCCCCACATTTCCCTCTTGGCTGCTTCTGTGGCCACACATGTTTCCGATGAATCCACATTCAAATGAATTTCGGCCGACAAATAACTCGATACAGCTCTTTGGTGGGAGAGAATTCCATCAGGATGAGGTCATGGTTTGGCTACAGTAAAATTAAAAATAACCTAGAGCCCCCCACTGCCCAGCCTGGCATCAGCCCAGGACAGTGCATTTGGGAACCATTATCGGGTTTATCGGGGTAACGTATCACAGAAAACCTGCTTCTGTTTATAGACCATTTTATTATTCCGTTTTGACATTTCCCTTTTTTCTTCAACCCCTTTCCCCCTTAAGCAAATATCTATTAGACTGAGTTGAAATGTGATCCAACCAAACATACTCTTTTTCAACTTCAGGCTAAAGCAGGTCTGACTAGAAGCAGAAATGCTTAAGTGAAAAGTTATGATTTACTTTCTTTCTAAAGGGAAACAGTGTCAGAAGGAGAATTTTATATGACAAGAGAACTTATGGCACACAGAGCAGGGGCTGACAGCTGACACAGACCTTTCCTGGGAAAGTGCTAGTGCTTAGAGAGCTGGGCCTCGTCTCTTAGTGTCCCTGTGACAAACTAGGAAAAGCATATCACCACAACCAGAATTAGTTTGAAAATGATCATGTCTCCAGAGTGGATTGTAGGTGTTTGGATGGTTAGAATGGAAAGAGAATGTAGAGATCATGTCCATTCTCACTCCCATTGTCTTACTGTTGGGTAAACTAAGGCCCACACGGCTGCAGTGACTTGCCCAAGGACACTGCCGGGGCTTGAGTGTTGGAGGACTTGAGCCTTAGAGTGTTGAAGATGGGAGTTTGAGAACTAGCTCTGCCATGAGCTGTGACACAGTGGCCATTATCTTGTTGCGCCTTGAGTACATTATCCCTAAAATGGGATAATTGCTCTCCTGCCTGTATTATGTGATTATTGAAGAACTGAGTGAAGAAACAGCTATTCTAGCAAATATTTACTGAGCGCTTATTTTCCAAATGTTCTAATCCTTCACGCAACCCAAACGCTTCTCACAGCAGTCCTGCCGATTAGGTACAATAATGATTTCATTCTCAAGATGAGGGACATTCATGAGGGATATAATTTACAAGAGCAAACTGTGAGTCGGAAGATAATAGAGGCTTGATTTGAACCTAAGTGTTTGATTCTAGAGCCTGTGCTCTTAACCATGGCATGATTCTGTCTCTGTGACCAATTAAATCAGAACCCAGTTGCAAAGGTGAAAGGTGAGATCCAGGCTGAGCCAGAGCAGAGACCCTGTTCATCTCACTCCTGTTTCCAGGTCCTTCTCCAGGACCGTGAATTGCCCTGACTTCTACAAGGGAGGCCGTTGGCTGCTTTCCTGTGCTTTCTTTCTGGCCTGGGCAACAGATTAAACTATGAAAGAGAAAGACGGTTTGAATTCTCCTTGAATGCATCAAAGTCCAGACCTGAAAGGAATGTTGCTGGTGAGGGTTGGGGGCACAAGAGGCAGGCCCTCCTCTGAAGGTTGACACACGTAACGACATTTCACGCACCACTGGGAGGTTGTGAGGTCCCCGCTGCTGAATCAGGCTTCTGCTCTTGCACTTGCTCCCCTCCTGTCTTCCTCCTTTCCCTCCACTTTTGATTGTTCCCAGGCATGGCTACCTCCAGGCTGGTCCCTACACCGGACCCTGGGTTACCGCCCCACCTTCCTCATTATCTCCACATTCTTCTCCCTTTAGCTGCATACTCCAGCTCCACTGCTTTGTGGGTGTGTTTGTGCGTGTGTGTGTGTGTGTGTGTGTGTGTGTGATTGTTGTTGATGTTGTGTTCTGATTCCTTCTTGAATGCACCAAGCTCTTGCCTCCCTTGGGACTGTTGCTTCTGCCCAGAACTCCCCATCTTTGCCCAGCTAACAACTCACTCTTCAGGTCTTGGTTCTAATGTCCTTCCTTAGTCACAATTAATTACTCATTACTTCTCTCATAGAATTATTTCCTTTTGTTTGTGCCTTTCTTACATTCTGCGCTAGCATATGTATTTATTTCGTTATCTATCTCTTCGTCTAGACCGGCAATCAACAAACTATTAGTGCAATAAACTGCTTAGTCGAGACCAAATTGTCATTAGTTAAGAATAGTTTTTACATCTTAAATAGTTATATTTCAAATATCTATATAAGCATCTATGTCATATCCTCAGTTTTGCTTCTTTGCTTCATAAGCCCTAAAATACTAATATTCATGTTTATCTTTTTTTTTTTTTAAACAGAGTCTCACTCTGTTGCCCAGACTGGAGTGCAGTGGTGCAATCTCGGCTCACTGCAGCCTCCGCCTCCCAAGTTCAAGCGATTTTCCTGTTCAGCCTCCCCAGTAGCTGGGATTACAGATGAATGCCACCACACCTGGCTAATTTTTGTATTTTTTGTTAAAGACGGAGTTTCACCACGTCTCAAACTCCTGGCTTGTCTCAAACTCCTAACCTCAGGTGATCCGCCCGCCTATTTGACGATAAAGTTTGCTGATCCTGCCCTAGACTGTAAGCTCCAGGAGAGCAGAGACCGCGTCTCTTTCATCTACTCTGCATCTCAATACCTGACTTGGTGCCTGGCTTGAAGTGGGTGTTTAATATTTGTCTACGGAAAATCAATGTATTCTCTATTCCTTCTAGTCCCCCCAATGAAAGGCAGCGAGTTCAGTAGGAAAAATTCATGTTACATCCAAAAATCTCATTTGAACTCTAACTGTGTTTACCAGGTGTGGGACTCTGAATTAGTAAACACCTTTGACCCTCAATTTCCCCATCCTTTAAATGAAGTTAATAATTGGAGGAATTAAATAAGGTAATAAAAAATGTACAGGCGATATGACAAAACGTAGAACGTTCGTTACTATCATAATAATTAATGCTGTTGTGCAAATAGCAATTTACTGTTTTATAGTTTCGCATCCACCTTTCATTGCTTGCTCTGTGATAATGGAGAGGGACCCTGTAAACGTGTCCGCCTTGCCACTTTGTGCAATATTTAGCTCCTTCAGTAGAGGGCGCTGCAGGAACATGTCAGGAGGGGGCCTTCTCTTCCGGATTCTGGATTCTGGTATACACTTGGAGCGTGGCATTTGGGGGACAGCCACTGGTGCGCAGCCCCATCAAGTTTTGGTGGCATCCCTGTGGACCATATTCTATTAATCTTCAGTGGTACCCCTGTGGCAGATCCCCAGTGATTCTTATGGGCACTCAGGGCTAACTCCCCAGCCTTGCCTGCACTGTGACGGGTTTCCAGCTTACCAGTCATAGTGTGTGTAACTAACTGCCTGCCAGCTTTGGCCCACATGCACCCCAGAGGTGCATTTCTTGCTTTCCAGTTCGTTCTGTGAGTCTCTGGCCACCTGTGTCAGCCTACCTGTATCTGAGGCGGGTATTTTTTTTTTCTGCCGTGTTCAGCCATGGTTCCCTGATCATCAGCCTCAGTCCAGTATCTGTGGACTAGCTCCAACGTGGGGTGACTTAGGGAAATTCCTGGCCATCCAGCAGAGTGCAAACCCCACCTTCCCAATGAAGGGAGTCCAACCTTGGGGAAGAGACCCTTCCTTCCATGTTTGCTTCTTTTTTAAATGTTCTCCATCAATCTTAAGGAATCCTTTCAAGTATTTTTTACTCCTTTACAGGTTAACTGCAACTGTTATAGCTAAAAATCCCTTATGTGAAACTTTCTCTGTTCGAATAACTCTATGGTTTCTATTTCCTGACTGGACCCTGACTGATACAGAATTGCTGTTAGTAGTTGTCTAAGAAGATAGACACAAAGATGGGATTTGGCGATTGGTTTGTTTTATTTTTAACCTTGAGTGTAGTGCTATGCTTTTTATTTTTGCAATAGGAAGTGAGATGGTAATCCATGGCATGTAATGGTATCATGATTGATAGAGCTGTCACCTGTGGCTGAATGTGATGAAATGCCCACTGAGGACATGCCTTGGGAGCTCTAGTGGCTACTGCACTTGATTGCTGTGGCAGTCACAAGGACTCTAGAGACTGTGGTGTGGGATGGATTCTTCTAAATGAGTTCAAGCAACCACAGAAAGAAAATGACAAGTTCTGGTCCTTTGACTCTCAGCTCAAGTCACAGATTGGGAATCAAGGAGCTTTCAAGGTAGCCCTAAAATATGCTCTTACTTCTTGTAGCCAAAGGGCTGATATTGCTAAAATCTGACACAAAATTTGTTGTGCTAGTTGCTGAATTATAATGACAGTTGGATTCAGAGTCTTTACAAGTTTCTCATGTAAAAGGACACTTATTGGGAAAGGTTAGGATACTAAAACTTGAAATGAGAACATCTCGTTCTCGTTGGACCCCGATGAAACCAGTAACACTGAACTTCCAAATTTCTCTGAGTTTCCCTTGACATTGAGATTAGTTGGCCTTGGAGTGTCTTAGTAGACTAGCCTTCCTTTCCTTGATAAACCTTATTATAAACTTACCCAGTGTTGCTGGGTAATCAATCTCTTCAAAACCCACCACAACTACACTTTGTTGCCATTAGACTCATAGCTGGAGCCATATCTCTCTATGTCCATGTAGGAATAGCTTACACAAAAAAGGATTGAAATTGTGCAAATAAATGTTGGCAGAAACCAGAGGGAAAAGAAGTGGATTTTATGGGTGTTAGATTAAGGAGGATAGAATATAAGAATAGACAGGGTCAAGTTTTTTATTACTAGATATTCCAGATAACATGTTTGCTCATGCATCCAGAGGGGGCTTTAAAAGCTTACTTGGTTGGTTGACTGAAACTTGGTCTCAATAGTGGCCTATATTAGGGGTTGATAAACTTCAGTCTGTGGGCCAGCTCCCTGATTTCATAAATAAAGTTTTATTGAAACATGGACACAGAGATACTTCATCATTTGAGTATTGTCTATGGCTGTTTTCATGCTGCAACAAGAGTTGAGTAATTGTGACAGAGATCACGTGGCCTTTAAGCCTGAGAGATTTACTATGTGACTCTTCAGAAAAAGTTTGCTGACTCCTGGGCTACATTTAAGGGGATAAAATTACATAGTTTCCCTGTATTGTTGGGGAGATATTGTGACTGAACTTATTACGTGTAACCTGCACACCATTTCCCAACTATGTTCCATGAGGAGGCTGGGAGTATAATTCCTTCACTAAGACATTGACAAATGCATTACTAAGGGAAGCACATTTATCCTTGAAAAATGGTGGTTCCTGTCATTTACAGATCAGTCATGAACAGAGGGGATGCCACCATTACGATGTGTTTCTTTATTTGAATGAAGACGCAAGACTGTTGTAGAAAAAGAGGCCAAATGACTGCACTTACCTGCTAAGGACAAAGTGGGAGCCTCTATCATGAAGGGCACCAGGGAAGTATCAGGGCTTGGATTGATTTGGGCCACAGAGATCTTTCATATGACAAAGATCTAGTAGGACATGAACTATTGCTAAATGTGTAAGAGGAAATATCCTATTATGTCTGATTGAAAAGAGAGAGAGAGAGAAAACTTGACTTTCATCACCAAAGTGGGCATTCTAGGACTCTTTCCAGAGTTAAGTCAAATCATAGCCCCAGAAACTATGGATTGAAATGAGATCAGGTCTCCTTGAGAAAAGACTCTGAACCATTTCTTCGAGTACATACCATAAATATTCCTCCAAGTATTTCTGAAAGGGAATGTGGCCATTTACAGGAGTGAATGTGCATTTGTGAAGTAGAAATACTCAGACATTTTGCAATTATTAGGTGTTTGTTCTGAATTGATGTTAATTCCTGGGGACCCTAATAGACACTGTGTCCCACCAGTCAAAAAGGGCACTTATGATGGACAGGTGATAGGTAGGGTCTTAGCTTAACTCTAACTCTTAGTGGGCATAATTGGTCCAGGATCCACCCTGTGGTTATTTCCCTTTCTTGAATATACAGTTGGAATAGATATGTTTGGCAACTGGCAGAATCTTCACATTGACTCTCTAACCCAAGGAATGAGGATGATAATGGTAGAGAGGGCTAAGTAGAAGTCCCCGGAACTTCTCTTGCTACCAAGATAGTAAACTAGAAGCGCTACTGCATAATTGCAAAGATTAATGACAACATTAAAGACTTGAAAGAAGAAAAGTGGTGTCACCTACTACATATTCATTTAACTCAACAATTTGGCTTCTGTTGAAATCAAATAGGTCTTAGAGAATAACTGGATCATGTAAACTTAATCAGATGTTAACTGCAATTTTAGCTGCTATCCCAAATGTAGCATCATTATTAGAGCAAATCAATGCAGCTTTTGGCACTTGGTATAACGTTATTGATATGGATAATTCATTTATCTACATCTCAATTTGCAAGGACCATGACAGTAAATTGGTTTTTATCTAGCATGGCTAACAGTATGCCATCACAGTCTTGCCTTTACACTATGTTGATTATTCTGTCCAGAGTCATTTGACATTCCACGAAGTATCACACATGTCCCCTATACTGATGACTTTGTATTGATTAGGTCTTATGGGCGGAAACTGACAAGTATTTTTAGTGCCTTAGTAAGACATGTAAACTAGCGGATAGAGACAAACCCCATAAAAATTCATGGGCCCCCCATCTTAGACTCAGTAAAGTTTCTTTAACTGTTATGAAGCATCAGGAAATATCCCCTCCAGGGTAAAAAGAGAAGTCGATGGACCTCATACTACCTAGGATGACAAAAGAGGTGCAAAATTTAAAAGGGCATTTTGGATTTTGGAGGCAGCACATATCACATTTGAGTGTGCCATATTGACCTATTGTCAGAGTCACCTGTAAGACCACCACATTTGAGAGTAAGAAAACAGTAGAAAATTCATTGGCAAGTTCAGTCTGCAGTAAGAGTTACACTACCACTTGTTCTTTATGATTCAACAGATCCATGGATATTTGAAATGGCCTTGAAAAATATGGGAACTGTATGGAGCATCTGGAAAGCATCTGTGGAAGAATTACAGCAAAAACTTCTACAATTCAAGTACAAATCTTTACCTTCTTCTGCATGCAATTATTGTTCTTTCGAGAAATAGCTTCTGGCTTGCTACTGGGTTTCTTTCTACTTGGTAGAATCTGAATACCTAGCCATGACTATTAGGCAACTGTGAGACTTGAGCTTCCCATATTCAACTAAGTATTGTCTGACATATCACCTTTATCAGCGATAAAGGTGGTCTTGCACAACAGCAATCTAACAACAAATAGCAAACTGTATTTCATACAGAAAGCTTGTACAAGTCTAGAAGGTACAAGTAGGTTGCATGGCCAGGTGGCTCAGACTTTTTCAGAATAGACTCCTGTTGTATCACCTTCTGTCTTTCAATCCATGGCTATGGCCTCTGGGGTGTTTCTTGATCAGGTGACTCAGGAAGAGACAATTCAAGACTGGTTTACAGATGCCAGTACTACTCAGAAATGGATGGCTGAAGCACCACAGTCTTGCTCAGGGCAACCCTAAAGGACAGTGGTGAAGAAAATCCTCCCAGTGGGTAGAACGTAGAACAGTACGTGGTTTCCATGATGCCAGAAATGAGAACTACACTGATTCGTAAACAATTGCTAGTGCTTCGCTGGACAAAACAGGATTGAAAGCAACTGACAAGAAAGTCAGAGGAAAAGCTATGTGAATGGACTTATCAGCATCAGCATGGATTGTAAAGTTGTTTATCTCCAATATGAATGCCCATGTATCCAGTGCAGATGGGGCTTTTAATAATTGAGTATAAAGGAACACAATATTTCAGCAAAAGAAATTTGGTTCCTAGGCTTCAAAGACCCCATTGGCAACCCAGGAGAGTCAAGAGCACCATGGGAAGCCCTAGGAAGGGTAGGCCAGTGACAGATTCAATTCATTTTGCTTTCCTGTAGGCAAGGGGCTCCAGAGTTTCATGTCCCAATTGGTGCATCTGCATTTTTGAGCCCTGTCTTGTGCAGGGCCTCAGCCTGGAAACTGTGAGTTGGCAGGAGATGTGTGGGCTTGGCACAGTGAGGAGACACAGAGAATTATAAGCCTCATTATCCCCATATCCCTAGAAGACTATAACTGCTAGGGAGAAAGACACAGAGATCCATGTAAAAAGTGAATTAAAAAAAGATTCCTCAGGAAGGCAGTTGCCCTGGAACAGTGAGAAAGTAAGCAGCACAGACAGCCAGAACTGTGGCGCTCAGGGGAGAGAAACTCATAGGGGAGGGAGGGGTGAAAGTGTTCCTTGGAAGGGAAGGAAAGGGCTTTGGTTGGAGCTGAAGGGGTGCCAATGTTTGAGGAGGTCAAGACAATGGAGCGGGGGTGGGTGACAGAAGAGGCAGACATTAGATCAAGAGTGAAAGCCAGGCTAGAGATCAGGGTCATGAGATCAGTGGAGCTTGACACAAGCCCCACAGATGCCTAGGGCTGCTCCAGCTCCCGACAGGGCACTGACTATCAACGTGTAAAGCACAACCTGACAGTCTTCAGCCTGAGCCCAGGGCTGTGGTGCCTCCTTTCTGCTCCTAACATGTGATTAGTATCGTATTTGCATTCTACTCCCAGACACCCACCTTTGCCTGTATCAGTGTCTGGATTTAAGAAAACTAAGCCTCAGAAGACTAAGAGTGGCCATAGTTGGAACTGAACAGTTTTCTTGTGAATTCTAGTTTCTTGACAGAGGACCAGACCTCTTGTCTGAAGTGATTATAAATGGGAATGTCTGCCCCTTTCTTGAGAGATGCTACTCCTAATCTTAGGGATGTGGCCAACACTCACACCTATGGCTCAAACTCTCAGTGACAATATTTTGACCAAATACAGGAGTATTTTGACCAGGAATTCTGGCCAAGCCTGTGGCTCAGCCCTTGGACAATCATTTCCCCTTGGGGAGCATGCTGTCCTGCCTGCTGGTGAAAGGCTGGCACTGGACAACCTGCAAGTGTCCTTCCAGCTCCGAGAGTTTAGGACGCTAGTTCCCACATGCTTTAGAGCTCAGTGTGTACAAAGTGCCCTCTTGCAGGATCTGAAAAACAGCAGTCTAGGGAGAGTGGTGCCCAGCTTCCTCAGAAGAGGTTACCCAGGACAAATCAGCATGGGAAGAAAAACTGGGGGCTTTTTTCTTCTTTTCGGACTCTGACTTTCACAGCACCAGCCACATTTTAGGCTTCTGAGCATTGGTAGTAGTTGGTTGGTTACAAATGCCATAAAAAGAACTGCAGCCCTTGCAGGGCAATGTGCTTGGGAAGAGGCGGATTTATGTTGTGTCTGTATCCCAGTTGGGGTATATTCGAATCTGATGCAGTCTGACTCTGGGACCATCCTCTGGAAGCTAAGCTGCTATCCAGCTGGAGAGAGTCAAATTGGCATTATGGGAGAGGGACTCCTTGGGACAGATCAGGGATGAGGAAGCTAGTTGACCATCCACAAGGAGATTGTCCTTTCATTCTTGTCTCGGATGACCAGATTTATATTTTTGTTAATTGTAAAGGTATGTTGTTTTGGAGATAGCAGAAAACAGGCAGGGATCTGACCTTACATAGTAAGCAGGTCGTTGCCACATGCTAAAGGAAAAAGACCAGGATGGAGACAGAGCTGGACAACACGCCATGTGACGGACAACTGAAGACACAGGAAAGAAAAGAAATGTAGACGGGGCTTAGTCACTGTCCTCAGACCTCTGGGAACAGAGGGTGGCCTTGCTTTCTTTGGCCCAGTTTATATCCATTCCAGTGCTTGGAATGTAATGGAGAGTAAATGAATGTTTGAATGAACGAATGAATGGATCAGAGCAGCAGAGTCAGACAAGTATAAGGTAAGAACAAGATGTATTTTGGCTGAATATAAACTCATTAAAAATCAAAGTCACACAGTTAATTAACCAGTGTTCTTTTAGAGGTATAGACTGCCCAGCACTGAGAAGCACAGACATCAGCATAATGACCCTCTCCCAGGAATGTCATAAAAGAGCATTTCTGACCAGCATAGAACCCAGGGAACACATGCCAAGCTGTCACTTTCGAGGTTAATGCTGATTAAGTTGTGAGAGATATATGTGCGGTGGCCTCGTGGGGTGGCGTTAACCTACATATCAAAGCAGGGAAAAGACATTTCCTTTGTGGTTCCATCTCTGAATTTCACAGACATTACAGCTGTGTTCTATCAGTACCTCAAGGTTTTTCCCTAAGTAAAGCACAGACTTGTGAAAGGGAATAAGGGAAGACACAGAAAGCCGGGTGACCACCGCAAGGCTAAATTGGATATGTCATGAATTATAAAATAAAGATGAAATATTCCTTATTATTTGCAAATTCTAACTAAATCTATTAGAACTATTTAATTATAGCTATAAAAGTTGTCATCAAAATGGCCTACTCTAATATGAACATTAAGAGAAGACACATGAAATCTTCATTAGTTAATTAAAATTCTTAATTTAAGGAAGTAAATGTCATTCTGATAGATTAAGTAAATATGGTTTGCCCTGTAGTTTACAAATAAAATCCCCAAAAGAATAAAGGTTTAAAGAAATAACATTTTTTCTTTGTTTTGTTCATTCATTCATTCATTCATTCAGTGTCCTCATTATAGTTTAATATAACAGGCATGCTATTGAATGTCAGAGCTGGAAAGATCCAGGACAAGGGATGGAACTCAGTAAACATCACTACACACATTGATGATCATCTACTTCAATGCTCAGCCATGGCTCAACCCAGGGGAAGAAACACTCTGCCAAACACACTTGCGTTTTACTAAGGATAAAAGACCTCGTCTACAAGGACATTGCCACAATGGTGGCATTATAGACACTATCTGCCATATTTGGATGAGTTGCTCAGTGTAGCTGCCAGTAACTCTGTGTAAAGCTGGGGAGTAAGAATGAGAATGATTTGATGCCTATCTCCCCCGCTACTGTGTATTAATCATTCCTCACAGATTGCAAAGTAAATTTAGAAACATTAGTTCATGCTTGGGTGTGATGGCTCATATCTGTAGTCCCAGCACTTGGGGAGGCTGAGGCAGGAGGATTACTTGAGACTGGGAGTTTGAGACCGCCCCAGGCAACATAGTCTCTACAAAAAATTTTTTAGAAAAATTAGCTGGGAGTGGTGGCACATGCCTGTAGTCCAGCTACTCTGGAGGCTGAGGCTGGAGAATCTCTTGAGCATGGGAGGTTGAGGCTGCCTTGAGCCATGGTTGCACCACTGCACTCCAGCCTGGGTGACAGAAGGAGATCCTGTTTCAGAAAAAAAAAAGGAAAAGAAAAGAAACATTACTTCATGAACGAACAGATAACAGTCCAAGCTCAGGAGTTGCTGCATATGAATGCAATAACATTGGCTCCTGCAGGAAACTGAACCAACCTTAGTAATCCAGCAAGAGGTATTATTCTGATCTTGGGTGGCGTGTCCTGCTAACCTGCCAGGATATCCAGATGCACTTGGTAAAGGATTCTCTTTTCTCCTCTCATGCAAAACTGTACTTTGATTGAGGTGATAGTTTGATACCTCATCTCAGCTGAAATCTCACTTGGCTCCAATCTTCCAATATCAGAGACTGACTGAAGTCCCCATCTCTTAACCCTCTGTTCATATCTCCTCACCACTTCATGAAGCTTTCTCTTTCCCTTACTCTATGACATATCAATCCCTAGCTTGTGAGTGTCCCAAACTTTAAGATACAAGTTTGAGGTTAGTTAGGGCCAAAGCCTAGCACATTGAGAAAAACACCTGGATATGTGTGTTGAGAACCATGCAGAACTGGAGGCTCAGAGAGTGTCTGTCTAACCCAATCCCCCATGCCTCATCAACATCAGGGTGATTTGTCATGGGGCCTGGCTTACTAAGAATACATCTACCTTTAAACCTTTGTACATATTAGTTGTTTAAACACTCGTGTTCAAATTATGACCCCTTTTTCCAAGTCCAGTTTGTGGATTCTGGGCTCTAGAGAGATGGCTCTGATTACTCAAACTTCAGATCATCAATCTTCCCAATCTTTTGGGAATTAGAACCTCAGAGATGCTGGGAAGCCCCTATAAGTTCTGGACCAGTAGTTTTCCAAATGTGAAGTTTAATATCCTTGCGCTTTAGTTTTCAATGGGTATCTGGCAGTGAGTAGTTAGATCTACAGGGCTACCACCACACTACTTCAATCAGTTCCATTTTTTTTGTTGTTTTACCCTACTGTAATTCTAGGTAGGATTTTGTTTGAACAAAAGGGGTTTTAGACAAAAATTTTGAAAATCAAGATCTACACCACTGTTTCTTAAAATAAATTATATAGATGAATATTAAAAATTCAGATTTCTTGGCTTTCTGCAAAGAAATTTTGATCAGCAGGTCTGGAACAGGACTCAGAAATCCACTTTGTGGAAAGCTGTCTAGGGGGTTTTAGAACACACATGTCAAGGCCTGGCGAATATGCAATGTTCTTCAACAGAATTTTCTGCCCTAACAGAAATGTTCTGTTTGTATTGTCTACTATAGTAGCCATGGCATGTGGCTACTAAGCATTTGAAATGTGGCTAGTATGTCTGACTAATCAAATTTAAAATTTTATTTTATTTATCTAACTTAAATTTAAGTAGTCACATGTGCCTAGTGGCTACCATCCTGGATAGCACAAGACCAACATTTTCTCTGTGAAAGAGTCTGCCTGCACTGTAGCATCCTAAGAGGCAGACATGCTTCCTTTTCTTGCTCAAATGCCTTGTGGTCTGTGCTGCACCATTCACAGGTTGAGAAGCATTAATTAATGTGCTCATCTCACATTTAATTTGTATCTGGGAGTATACAGATAAAGAAATCAGGGTCCTTTTCTACAAAAAACTCAGAATCTAGTGAGGGAGTTTCCAATCAAAGAAATGGGCAAGTCCAGTCACCTCAAGAGAAATAGTAGAAAGATTTTGATCATGGCACACTTATTTTTATTCATTCTATATCCTTCAGTTTCTAGCCTCCGTGGTGGCTTTACATCAGGTAAAAGTTCTAGTTTCTGCTTCAGTAGTTAGAACCACTCTGCAATTACAGCAATTGCTTCTTCATGGGCAGCCTTGCACAGCAATTAAAAGCAGGTGCTCTGGAATGAGACAACATGAATCCAAATCCTCATTCTGGATTTGTTGTGAACTCTTGTTCACAAGCTATGTGCCTTTATGAAATGTAAACAATCTTTCTATGCCTTAATTTCTCGTCTGTAAAATTATCTACCTCAAGCCATTGGTGTGAGAAGTCATTGGGATAAAGTGTACTGAGTGCATCATATACTGTCTACACATGGTGGGCGCCCATAAAAATTCCGGTTCTTGGGGCTGGGTGTGGTGGCTTATGCTGTAATCCCAGCACTTTGGGAGACCAAGGCAGGTGGATCACGAGGTCAGGAGTTTGACACCAGCCTGGCCAACATGGTGAAACCCCGTCTCTACTAAAAATACAAAAAATTAGCCAGGAGTGGTAGCCCATGCCTGTAATCCCAGCTGCTTGGGAGGCTGAGGCAGGAGAATCGCTTGAACCCAGGAGGTGGAGGATGCAGTGAGCAGAGATCGTACCATTGCACTCCAGCCTGGGTGACAGGGCAAGACTTTGTCTCAAAAAAAAATAAAAAAGTTTCGGTTCTTACAGCACAATGATTGAGAGCACAAGCTCTGGAGCTCAGTTGCCTGCTTTAGAATCCCAGATCTGCTGCTTTACTTACCATCTTTGTGCTGCTAAAGAAGAATATCCAATGATGCTTGCTGAAGATGATAAGGCCAACTTTCTTCAATGGGTGGAGCAATTATGATAGGCATAAGAGAGATTGGGCTCAACTTCAAACTTGGCATGGACAAGTGGGAATTTATAGTCAAGGAGCAGGGTGGGTGTTGGAAGATAGAAAATTACTGAGAAGAAACATCAGGGTGAGAGGGGATTCTGGTTAAGCCAACCTAATAGAATGCTTGCTGAATGCAGGCCAGGGTGACATCGCCTTGAGGTGAAGGATGAGGAACCTGATTAGATATTGAGGGTGGGGGTCCTGGTTAAACTGACTTAGCAGGATTCTTGCTAAATTTGGGCAATGCAGAGACAAACACAAAAGTCCAAAGTCAGACCTAGCTGAACAGAAAGTTCAGAAGGAGCCCAAGTAGGGTTTGATCAAGGAGAGAATCTTGATCAGTACCTCAGTTTTTCTCCTCTCTAAAAATGGAAGACTGGAAGTTAAAACATACAAAGGGGGAAAGATGAGGCCGCCTGTTTCTGATAGAGGTAGCAGCATGTGCTAAGGCAGGAAGGCATGACCTCAGGGACTTTGCATGACTGAAACATATCATCTTTATTTTATTTTATTTTATTTTATTTTATTTTATTTTATTTTATTTTTCTGAGACAGGATAAATAATGGAAACCCAGTGAGAGGTGAGGCTGTACAATAAACTTACAATAAACTTACTCACTACCATCAGAATAGTATGAGGGACGCTGCCCCCGTGATTCAATTACCTCCCAGGGGGTCCCTCCCACCACATGTGGAGATTATGGGAAGTAAAATTCAAGATGAGATTTGGGTGGGGACACAGGCAAGCCATATCAGATAGTAGTGATCACATAAAGAGGTTAATATATGTAATTCACTCACTGGGCCTAACTCCTGGTAAATACTATGTGAGCATTCACACATATTCTCTTGTTACTAATAACTGGTTTCCTCTCTTCTATCTGTATTTTCCAAATCATCTTCCAACCTAGCAGCCAGAACAATCACTGGAAAGCATACATTTGACCAAATCAGTTTTCAGTTTAAAATCTTTTCATATCTTCCTATCACCCTTGTCTCCTTTTACTTTATTGTATAGCCTCACCTCTCACTGGGTTTCCATTATTTATCCTGTCTCAGAAAAAAAAAAAAAATGATATGTTTCAGTCATACAAAGTCCCTGAGGCCATGCCTTCCTGTCTTAGCACATGCTGCTACGTCTATCAGAAACAGGCGGCCTCATCTTTCCCCCTTTGTATGTTTTAACTTCCAGTCTTCAAAGCTTAGCTCAGCTGCCATATCCTGGGCAGATTTCTTGACTTTCCCCCAACCTGACCCAGGCTAGGTTAGATTTCCCATGTCATTCCTGTTCGATGACTTGTGTTTATCTCTATCATATTGAATCATACTTTTCCAGTTGAATCATACTTTTATGCCCCGCCCCCTGACAACTAGCATGTGAATTGTATGACTTTCATAAACCATATTCTTGGCAATTAACACCTTGTCTTACACTGAGTATAAGTAACTCAGTAACACCACAATGAATGCCTAAGTGCCCGAGTTCAGGAGAAGAAATGAAAGCTGTTTCTACTGAGAGCTTCCTCTCTATCCCGTGTCAATGATATTCATGTACAACAACAGGAATTCAGTGATGCTAAATTGACAACCCTCTGAAAAAAATGGTGCACAGAAAACTGTAATTCCACAGGTAGAGTCCTGCTATCTTGAGGCTGCAAAATGACTTAATAACAGGTAGTTGAAATCAACATGCCATTCACGGCTGCTTCTCAAACAACCCAACTCTGTCTAAGGCTAGAATGGGACATTTATTAAGAACACTAGCAAAGTCTGTCAATGTGAAACCTTTCATATCCATAATTCCTACCATCTGTAACATCTTATGTTACATAAGATTCCCTATTACCAGTAGCAGTGTTAATCCATCATCTGTCTTAAATATTTTTAGATGTTCTTCATATACTCTACTTTGCTCCCCTTCCTGTTCTTCTAAACATATGCTCTTTACTTGCCATAATTAATTTTATATGAACTTTATCATATTAAGGGAGTATCCAAAATTTTTTGGAATGACTTTTCAGTAGAATAGGATGTAATAACAATTTATATTGAAATCAAAGAAAAAATTACAAGTCTGATAATTAGGAGAGGCAATCAAGTTTTCCTCTCTAATAATATAATATTACAAATGTGATTTTCTTACAGGGTTATCATTTCTGTCTAGATAAGAAGTTTCTCTATCAGGTGAGTGTCATTATTTCTAATAACAGGAAAGAAGACAACACATTTTCAGGAAATTACTAATGCTAAGTATTTCAGAATGTATCTGTTCTATCTATTCTTAATTAATACCAAAGTGTTATTTACTCTTCAAGTTCCACTTTTACATAAATAAACTTAGTCAAATAAGTGAGAAAAATTATTCATCATTTGTTAAATAAGAAGACCCAGAATTATACTTCTATTTCTCATAACATGGTTATGCTATTATATGTACCAAAATATAATTGTCTTCCTTGTGATGTATTGAGCTTCCCCTCAGTGCAAGATTAGAAGCAAAGACTGGAAATTATGCCTCAAAAACATCCTTAAAAAACAAAACATTATTATTGGCACACTTCAAAAATGCAAGCAACTTTATGTATAACCTGTCATCTAGGTCTCCAGACTCCCTGAGGCAAACGTGATGTCAGCTGCAGCTGTGGTCGACAGTTCATGTGCATTGTCAGTGTCCTGCTGCTGCAGACAGAATGCGCATGTCCTGTCCAAAAATCTCTTTACTGAAATCCTAACCCTCAGTGTGATGGTGTTAGGAAGTGGAGCCTTTGGGAAGTGATTAGGCCATGAGGGCAGAGCCCTGAGAAATGGGATTAGTGCCCTTATAAAAAAGGACCAAGGGAGCTCTTTCACCTCTTCCCCTCCCAGCACATGATACTAGAGTAAGAAAGCATTGCCTATGAACCAGAAAGTGAGCCCCCGCCCAGACACCAAATCTGCTGATGCCCGGTACCTTGATCCCAGACTTACCAGCTTCCAGAACTGTGAGAAATAAATTTTTGTTGTTTGTGAACTCATCTATGACATACAGTTATAGCAACCTTAACAGCCTATGACACCTACCCAGACATTGAACTACCTGCCTCCGCTTTTCAGTTTCCCAGCTTTCTTTGAAGTTTCTTTGCATTTCCTGAAAGAGATTTCCCATAAACAGAGAAAAAAACATGAAATAGTCCACAAAATAAGTTATAAAAATAAGAAATAAGAAAGTTAATAAGAGTAGAAATGTTTAAGATGGTAGAAAATAAAGATAAAAATTACTACAATAGATACATTGATAATTATAACAAATAATTATTGATTGGTTACTATATACAAGACCCTTATTACATTTTTATAATTAACAGCCCAACAGTCCACATTAACAGTCCATTAAATTGAGGTACAAATAAAGTTGCCCAAGAGTGTACATTTAATAAGTCATGAAACTTAAATAAAAACCTAGGTTGTCTGCATTTAGAACCTCGCTTTCTCTCTCAAACCATTTACTATTGTCCAATAGCTACTTATTACAACACACACACATACAACCATGAGTGCACAAATGCATACACACAAATAGATAAATACTGTATTTGTCTAATCAAGGTAAATAAAACAAAAAACAAAAATTCAAAAAAAATTAGTTCCAAGGAACTGAATATAACTACAAGTAAAAAGAAAATAACTAAAAAGATTGAAAAAAGTGTAAAAGTTTTTACTAAATATTTTTAAACGTGGATAAAATGTATCATTTTCTATAAAAATACAAATAACTAAAAATCAAAAGAAATATGTAGACTACATGAACAAGGGTCACAAATGCAGAAGAAATTGAGAATATTGACTGAGAATTCCTCCCCTAAAAAAATGGGGTTGAGAGGGTTTCTTGTTTCAGATTTTTCAAACAACATATATTCTATAGTTTTTTTATTCTAGAGTGGATAGAAAATAAATCTCTGATTCTTTTAAACTCTGTAACAAAGATTGTGAACCTGCACATGTGCACACATATATAATGTGCTAGTATTAATATTAATACTGATAAAATTACTGAATAAAACTAAACCAAGGGGAACCCAGAAGTATACACCACTATACTATAAAACATTGTACAGTATGACTATATAGAATTAATTTCAGGACATATGAATTGTATATATTAAGAAACTAGAAACTAGTATAATTTTGTTCTTGATTACATTTTATTTCACAGGAAAAAATGATCTTCCCATTAAATACTTAAGAGTGTTTGGTCAAAAAATTATTAATTTACTTAACTATGAAATTTTCCAGCCTTACTATGGGCTGGGTATTATTAGACAATGGTGATTAGGCAGTGAGCAACGCAGAAAAGGACCCTGACTTCATGAAGTTTAAAGTCTGGCAGGGAAAATTAATAATAATAAAGCACTTATAGATGGCATGTGCATTAATGAAAGAAAAAATATAGTGGATCATGGTAACACATACCTAGGAAGGATGTAAAAAAATCTAAGAATTCCTGATGAGATGTCCCAAGAAAGTGATATTTAAGCTAATACAAAATGATTAAGAGTTCAAGTTTAAAAAGTTTGAAGAAGGGTGACTGTTACTCAAATCTTCCAGAAAATTGAAGAGGATGAAAAATTTTCTAACTCATTCTATGAGGCCAGTTCTACTCTGATACCAAAACCAGACCAACATTACAAGATAAGAAACTGCAGACCAATATTCCTTATAAACAGATGCAAAAATTATTAACAGATTTTAAGAAAATCAAATATTAAAATGTATAAAAAAGGTAATAAATTATAACTAAGTAGGGTTAACCTCAGTAATGCAAGTTTGGTTTAACATTCAAAAGTCAATTAATATAATTCACCATATTAATATTAAATAGATTTAAAAAGAAAAAAATAATATGGCCATTTTCATAGATTCATAAAAATATTTGACACAATCCAGGATGCATTCCTGATAAGTACTTAGCAAAATAAAAAGGAAATTTCTCAAGTTGATAAAGCGCATCTACATAAAACCTACAATTAACGTCATTCCTAAGATGAAAGACTGAATGAATCTCCCTAAGATCAGGAACTAGATAGGAATGTCCACTCTTGCAACATCTATTCGACATTGTGCTAAAGATTTTAGTTAGCATTATAAGTTAAAAAGTAAATAAATAAAAGGGATTCTAACTGATGAAGAAAAAGTATTCAAAGATTATCTATGCAGAGCATCTTACAAAATTAAAGACCTAAACAAATGGAGAGATTTACTACTATTTTTTTATGGATCAGAAAACACAATATGGTTTATATGTCTATTTTCCCCAAATTAATATATATATATTCTAAGGATCCTCAATAAAAGTCTCAACGGGATAATTTTTTGGTAGGAATTGACAAGGTAATTCTAAAATTCATAAAGGAATTGAGAGCATCCAGAACAGCCAAAATTAATTTGAAAATGAAAAAAATTGGAGGATTTCCATTATCTGAGTTCAAGATTTATTATCAAGCTACATTAATCAAGACAGTGTAGTATTTACGCTAAGTTATTAAGTTATACAGATCAATGGAACTAACTAGGATCTGGAATTAGATCCACACATATACAGTCAATTTATATTTGACAAAGATGCAAAGGCCATTCAGTGGAGAAAGGACAGTCTTCAGCAGTTACATAAGAACTACTGGAATCCTTATGCAAATAATGAAATTCAAACCATCCCTAACACCATAGACACAAATAGACAAACACTAACACAAATTGATTATGGACCTAAATGTAAAACCTGAAACGTTAAATCTTTTAGAAGAAAACTTAGGAGATTATGTTTGTGACATTGGGTTAGACAGAATTTTTTAGATACAACTCCAAAAGTGCAATAGAAGAGAAAAAGAGTTGATAAATTGGACTTCATCAGAATCAACAAGTACTGATTTTCTAAAGCTACTGTAAAGATAATGAAATGACAACCACAGACTATGAGAAAATATTTGAAAATCTTGTATCTGATAAAGGACTTGTATTCATTACACATAAATAAGTCTCAAAACCCAATAATAAGAAAACAATGAAGACAATAACAAAAGCAGAAGATACGAACAGACTCTTTACCAAACAAACAAACAAGACATATGAATAGCAAATAAAGTACATGAATATACTCTAAACACCATTAGTCTTCAGCGAAATGCAAATTAAAACCACAATAAGATATTACTCCTACTTATTAGAAAGGCTAAATTTAAAAAGGCTGGTTATACCAATTGTTGGTGAGGCTTTGTCGGCAACTGAAGCACTCATACACTGCTTGTGGGAATTTAAAATGATACAGTCATTTTGAAAAGCAATTTTATAGTTTTTCAAGAACTTTAAATATTTTTGCCATATGGTCCAGCCACAGTACTCCTAAGTAAATAGAGCATATGTCCATATAAAACTTACAAATGGATGTTTATAATATCTTAATTTGTGATAGCCAAATAATTTAAATGTATGAATGTGTAAAAAAACTGTGTTACAAGCATGCAATAGAATAACAGTCAACAATAAAAAGGAACAACCTATTGATACATGCAACAACATGGATAAATTTAAAAGCGTTCATATCCGGGTGCAGTGGCTCACGCCTGTAATCCCAGCACTTTGGAAGGCTGAGGCTGGCAGATCACTTGAGGTCAGGAGTTTGAGACCAGCCTGGCCAACATGGTGAAACACCATCTCTACTAAAAATACAAAAATTAGCCAGGCGTAGTGGCGTAGTGTCCCATGCCTGTAATCCCAGCTCAGGAGGCTGAGGCAGGAGAGTTTCTTGAACCCGGGAGGTGGAGGTTGCAATGAGCTGAGATCATGCCACTGCACTCCAGCCTGGGTGATGAGAGCAAAACTCTCAATCTCAAAAAACAAAACAAAACAAAACAAAAACAAACAAACAAACAAAAAAACAGCGTTTATGATGAGTGAACAAAATGAAACAGAAAAGCATAAGTATTATACTATTCTACTTACAACAATTCTAGGAAATAAAAATGTACTTATAATGACATCAAGCAGACCAGTGGTTGTTTGAGAATGGCAGGGGCTGGAATAGGAGAGGAAGATTAAGAAGGGCATAAGGAAACAGGATAATGAACACATTTATTGTAGTGTGTAGTGTGGTTATGGTTTCACATTAAGTGTGAGTGTGCATACATGTCAAAACTCACAAATGTATGCATTCAATAGGTTCAGTCTACTGTTTGTTAATTGAGCCTCAATAAATCTGTTTAAAAAGTAAGTGAAAATAAATTGGATTAATTATATAAAAAACAAATTTTATGTATAATTGTATATATATATGTGCTAATGTATACACCTGCCCCACTCTCATATGCATACACACACTGGCCTAGAAAGGTGTTCATTATATATTTTAAATTAAAAGTCAAGACACATAATTCACATAATTATATACAGTTTGAATCTATTTTCATAAAAATAAGAATTTTTTATTCCATGTAAACAATAATGATAATAAATAAAAGATGTCAAAATATTAAAAGTTTTAAAATAATGGCATATTATGGGAAACCATTATTTGTTTTAAAGATATTTTTCTACACTTCACTTATATCAAGCCTGAAGCTTTTTACTGTAGGCCAGTGGATGGGATCAATCCTGAAAGTGGTTTTAGTTATCACTCCCCTGGTCCAGTGGCTAATCCTCCATCATCTTACTCAGTGCCTAGGCATTCACGGTTGTTGACCCAGGAACTTTGAAGATAGCTGGTTTCACAACTCAGCAAGGAGAGCTATTCTCTAAATAAGTTCACTTTCTGTAGTGGAAGCCTATCATCTTATATACTAGTGTATTTACATTTCTCCACCTTATTGAGGACAATCTCTACCTTCTTAGGCCAACCAGCCCAAATGCTATGTCACCTGGTAATCAGGTCTCTGTCTCCATATTGTATGATTGCATTGGACTACAATTCTGTGATATATCAGGTTCTGTGGTGATGTATCCATTCTGGCACTACAAGAACTTTAGTGTGGCACAGGCAGCTTTCAGCATTAAAGGCAGTTCACCCTTGCCTCCATCTTTAAATTTGACAATTACCATAGAGATCAGTGATGAACATTTGTGATTAGGTTTTGTTATTCTCCCTTGCCCAAATGTGTCATTGAATAATAACCCATATCTGAGACCTGCTCTAGCATGAACATCTTGGGGAAATGTTCCTGTTGGAAAATCCTATCAGCATCTTATTCACAGATCCTGGGGAGATTTATTTAGGTGAGAGTAGCAGAGTACACTGGCAGTACCAAATACACTAACAGGAGTAACAGGGAACCAATAGTTTCTGGATGGCCTGGTGCATGGCTGTCATCATTCATGCATGCTTTGTGAGAACACAAAAAGAAGCTTCTTCTTCCAGGATAGCACAGTCCATGCCAGAATCATGGCTTGGAGAGTAGAGCAAGAGCCAGACTATATCCATTACCATGATATCTATTTTGAATCTTACATAGTGGTTCTGGACCAGTGTCCTTGGCAAAGTGAAGCTCCCACCAGAGGGAGATCAGCAGGCAGAACTGCATTTGTGCAAAAGCACACAAGTTCATCTTGAGTGGTGGGATGGCCTGGACTTCAGCTATAAGCGAGATGAGTGAATTCATTTGAACATGCCCTTAGCAGACATTGAATGCTATGCATTTCATTAGATTATGTGAATAGAGAGGTTAAGAGAGAAATTAGACATAGTCACTGCCTTTAAGGAATCCATTGTTCAGTGAAGAAAGCATAAGTAAACACATAAGTGAAAAATATTATGATGAACATCCATATATAACATGTTTTCATTTATGTTTGTCTCTTTATGTGTTTATTTCTATCTCACTCATCTTTAATATAATATTAAATACCATATTTTATATAGATTATATATAAAACTGCATATATATTAAAGTATATGTATTGTGTATGTGTGTATATAGGCAGATCAAGAGAAAGAGAGAGAGAAAGAGAGAGACAGAGAGAGAAAGAGAGGAGAGGGATGAGAACCACAGAAAAGAGTTCATAATTTTTTTGGGATAGGACACAGAAAGGTCCAAAGAGGGAGAAACATTTGAGCAGTGCCTTGAAGAATGAATATAATTTTATAAGGCAGATGAAAGGAAGTCGAATTTCAGGCAGAAGGGGAAGCATTATTAGCAACATATAACTATGAAAAAATTGATGATATGTTAGAAAACTGTAACCAGTTTTGTAGCATGGGAAAATGGGATGCGTGTTTGATAGAAGGTAAGTGAGATGGGAGAATTAAGCAGTTTATCTCATAGAAGGCCTTGTATCTCAAGCTATTGGGTTTGACTTAGTAATGTTTTTGCAGAATGCTAATGTCCATGAGAAATTATAGATGTTTTGTGAAATACACAAGAGTCTTTAGACAAATAAACTTGAGAATTGATATGTATCATACGGTATACCCTCCCATGGAGATTTGCAATATATAAAAAAAATCCGGTAGTAAAAACAATAATAAAATAATGTCTTTAATCTTGTTTCACAAATATTTGAAAATTGACATCTTCCTCTCACCCCACACATTGAAAACCAATTAACAACTCTGAAAATATATTTCAGGAAACTTTCTAAAGACATCAGCATGGTCAGATACATGTCAACAAAATGAGTGTTGGCTGTGTGGAGAAAAAATTGCAGCAGCAACAGAAAAGGCTGGGTGATCTAGGGAGATGATGATGGTTTGAGAAAATAAAGCAAAACAAACTAGGGAGAAGTTGCTATATTTTGAGAGCTGTTTTGAAAAAATATGTATGACTAAGAGGTGTGGGACTAAAGAAGAAGGAAGAGTCATGCCTGTAAGTTTGGCTTAAATCTGAAAACACCATAAATATGAACACTCAAGGTGATTCCTCGGCATTTCAAACTTCTTTCTGCCCATTTTGTGTGATATTCAGAAGTTCCACAAAGAAGAAGGTGGGTTTCTAGCTACCTGGTAACTTTATTTTTAGAAGGAGCATATTATCTTTGAAAACCGGAGTTCTAGAGACAAAGTTGAACCAACTAATAGGGCTTGTAGAATCCAGTGTAAAGACTATGCTGTTAGGGCACAACACCTAGGTTGCTCTCCAAGGTGCTGAATCAATTTGTCTGGTTATGTGAACTTCTCTGCTTCTGGTGCCTTTCTGCCTCTGAGTGTGTCAAACTCAGCTCTCTTATAAAGTAGCAGCCTTGTCCCAGACTGATGTCCCAAGACATAATTTAACTACTATGTTGGCTTCCTGCCCTTGCCAGGACTAGCTAACTGACTTTTGATCAAGACAACAGCCTGATTTCTCATCTGGACTCCTGGCAGAGCAGCCGCAAACTGTAGGCTGTGTCCACAGAAGTTGAAAACATCCTGACAGGTAGGTAAATATTTCCTCTTGAAATAAAATTGACCAGCCAAGGAAGGAGATAATTTGTTATTGTGGATGGTTGGTGAGCTGTAGAAATTAATTCTCAGGGTTTGATTTTAGTATATCAGGTCTCAGGACACTGAAGTTTCCCCTTGGCAGACAGCCTCTTGGCCACTGGCTTATATTGAGCTCAGCCTTCTAAGGGACACACTGAGGAAATCAAAATCTAGTAGAAAAAACAAATGCTAATTTCAAGTGCTATAAAGTGGCCTGTATTTAGTATCAAATAAATGCATTAGGGACCCAGAAAAGGAAAGTTAGCATGGGCTGGGATAATTAGGGAAAGCTTCACAAAGGAGGTGGAGAATGACCTGGGCTTTGATGTATACAAGTAGACTTCATATAGACCAAAAAAAGAGGGTGTGCATTAATGACAGCACCATAGGTGTGGAAATGCCCATGACACATCTGAGAGATAATAAACACTCACCTGGTTCAGAGTTCACCAGAGCTCCCTAACATTTCTATGCATAGTCTAGCTTATCCTCCCCACTCACATTCACATGGAACCCCACTGCTACTGTACCTTTCCCCACAGTGATTTTATTATTTGTCTCATATAAAAGGAATATTTTTTCAAATATATTGAAATTTGGAAGAAAACAATTTGATAGCCTCACCCAAGTGCTTTGGATATTTTCTAGAGGCATGTTCTTCAAGGTGTAGGGAGCCTCTTAAGACTTCCGTTCCTCAAATCACAGAACTGAAAACTTTACCTCTTGGGTGGCTTAAGAATGGTGAATAAAATATAGCTCCCATCTTGAAACAAAGCATGTCACTGTGCAAACAAGGAACATTTAAAAATACACAGAAAATGCAGGCTGATAAAATAAATAATCTGGCAGTGTGAAATTTGATGGGGGAAAGTAGAAGATGTCATAGAGAAAAGATTTTCTTTTGTTTTGTTTTTCTTTTTCTGTTTCCTTTTTTTTTTTTTTTTTTTTTTTTGAGATGGAGTTTCACTCTTGTCACCCAGATTGGAGTGCAGTGGCGCAATCTCGGCTCACTGCAATCTCTGTCCTCTGAATTCAAGCGATTCTCCTGCCTCAGCCTCCTGAGTAGCTGGGATTTCAGGTGCATGCCACCATGCCCAGCTAATTTTTGCATTTTTAGTAGAGGCGGGATTTCACCATGTTGGCCAGACTGGTCTCGAACTCCTGACCTCAGGTGATCCACCCACCTCAGCCTTCCAAAGTGCTGGGATTACAGGCATAAGCCACTGCGCCCTGCCAAGAAAAGATTTTCTTAAGTCAATTTTCAAAAAGAGTGTCTCCAAAGACACTCTTTTAAAATTAAATTCTGAGATTTACCTAAAATTCTATATAGCACAATTTCAAATGGCAATCTGATGGAGGTATTTTGCAGAACACATTTTCAGAACATCCATTTCCAACAGTTCCAGAATTTTCAGACTTTCATGTAAGAAAAATAGGCAAGGAAAGCACTAGAGCATCAAAGACATAGCCTCAGGAACCTGACGGGACCAGTGCAGGAAACCTCTCTTCTTTAGAGTTTGACTTCTGAGCAGAAGCAGACAGAATGGCCTAGAACTTTATTTATGACGTAAGAGGCACTATGAAGGTGAGGTCAGCATGGTATTAGGCCAGTCTGCACTAGGATTTAGGTATTGGATGGATTATTGTATTTAGTGAATATAAATAGCTTAAATAAACTGATCAATACAATTCAGTATTATTTAATCAGTCACTTAAGTTGTGATGGCCAAATATAATATAGACCTTTCAAGCAGAAAACACCTAGAAATTCTATCTACACATTGATAAGCCAAAAGGTGAAATCAGGTATGAAGAAAGACTGCAAATATTCACCAGGTTTCATGAATGTGGTCAGCTGAGCTCCTCATCCCCATCCTTTCAAGAGAACCCCGAATAACAGTCAACTTTCTGGCTGGTATAAAGACTATTCTGAATTGCACATCCATCAATTCCTCACTATCTGTATTTCTCTTGACAGTTACGCATATTCTCCCTTCCTTATTTTTTCATGTCTTTGACTCTCAACACTCATTTAATTAGGGGCACACACATGCACACTCTTCAAGGCCCCTTTTCCTTCTCTCTCTTTCTAGGTTTTATCTCTTTAAATTTGTCCATTTGTCAATTTACAGAAAAATTCCTTTTTCTATTTCTTTCCCTTTGTGTCACAAATAATCCTAATAATTGTGCTTTTGTCTTTTGCACAGGGCATCATGGAAGGTCTCTCTTGGGACTTCTGAGCCATTGATAGCACACACAATTAGGTCTCAGGTGATCAGCTTCAGAAGTGCAGGGATTAAAAGCAATGCTCTAGGAAAGCCTCAAAGTTGAATAGTTAGAAGAATTATTTCAGGGCTTACATTGTCTGAAAAATATACTTAACATAAAACCGGTTATTTGCTGATCTTGCCAAACCCAAAAAGTAGTACTGCACTCAAAAGAAAGAATAAAAGATCACTTATTAGTGTTTCTTAGCATCTCTCGACAAGTAGGGCTCAGGCATCTCTAGATATCAATCATGTCTCTGTTCATTTTCTGCCTTTTTTTTTTTTTTGGTAATTTCCTGCCTTTGGCTGTTATTCAGGGTTCTCTTGCAAAATGAACAAAAGACAGGTGGTACCACGAGTAGCACATTTTGTGTATGACTTTTTTTTTTTTTTTAAGAAATTCAGGTGTAGAGAGGTGAAGGGCTGCTGGTGTGATTTTCTCAGAGTACGTGTCTAGCAAGTATCTATGTAGACGAATCATCACGTGCTTATCACCCACTCAACCCTAAGCATCATATAAAATAGAGGTGCATTTTTAAATATATGTACCAAACTTTAATTTTCATTTCACACTCAAAACTCCTGTAGAAAAAAAGGCAAAGCAGGCAAAAAAAATTACAATGACTTCAGCAAACAACATATGAAAACTGCAAAACAGCCTTGGGTCTGTAATGGCCTTTATAGACGTAGTGAGAAAACTGGGTTCCAAGGTTTTGAACTCTTTAAGACAAAATTCCAATGTTTATTACTAACATTTAAAAAATATTTGTAGCTGCATAGGATACAAGATTGAATGAGAAGTCTCTGAATTCTACTGCACAATTGGATCCTAAGATTGGGAGGCTTAATTTTTCTTTGGGGAAAACATGAAATTATTTTTACTTAAATGTGATGATGCATCAGTAACCTCAGTTTACCATTAAGGTCTTAATTTAATGGTGATAACTAGGAGCAAATGTTGATCAAGCATGATGTTAACTAGTAGTTAAAAGGTAATATCCAAACTTTCTTTCTGGTTGTTAATACTCCACCCCTAATGTGAAGACATCCATTTCCAGTTGTTTTTTTTTTTTGTTATTGTTTTTTTTTTTCTACTACTAATTCCTAGTGGTGCACAACGAGTTTCTGAGAACACAGTAATAACGCCAAAGTAGCAGTGCATCTGAGAAACATAATTTTTACCTCGTTGCTTTCCCAAAAATAAATATCTCAGTCATGGAAAACACTGTTTATTTGAAAACAATGAGACCTCAAATATGAAATATAGTTAACAATGACATTGACACTGTTGCTAGCACTTTCCCCTAAACCACCCGTAAGTCTTGGACGCATGTGCATGCAGCACACACACACACACACAAAAACCAAAAACAAAGCCAAAAAAAAAAAAATCCCAAACACAACAATCCATGATTGTTCAATGACTCCTGATGCCGGGAGGACAGGCTGTTAAAAGAATTTGTCTCCCACAATATCTCTGGAGTGGGCACAAAGCCCATCACCTGTTAGTGATCACAGACATTCAGTTAACCTGTCCTTCCAGTAATCAGAGACAACAATTCAGACCCTGGACTTCTCAGAATCCATGTACTGCTGAGTCTTGGCTTTGAGACAAGACAAGTCTTGGCTAAATTGAGGCAGGACAGCAGCCCCTTCCATATGTTTGGTCCCATTTGATAGAAAGTCTAATTTAGAGTTATAAATGTGCTCATCTATTTACTCTGAGCTCAATCTAATTTGACAGGTAATTCCTCACATTTTCTCCATTAGCCAGCTGAGAGTCAGCTGTGGTAGAGACACACGACATGGGTTCAAGCCCCTCATGAGCCCTGTGGTGGCTGGCAAGTCCTTTCCTTTCTTTAAGCCTTAATCTCCTCACTTGATAGAGGGGGAGAAATTGACCCAATGATGATAAATATTGTGTGGTTCTATATTTCTAGCCTAGACAATTGTTGCTCAAGTGTAACATGTGACTGCCAAATAGGATATCTCTTAAGATGAATATCTCCTAACTTTCCTCACCTGGTATGATCACATATTCTGGCTTCCTCTAAGGTTTAGAATCTGTAGGTTCAAAAAGGTCTTGAAGACCACCTAGCATATTTCTATTCTGATGAGAGAAACTCCATCCAAGCAGCTGTACTTTTTCAACTTGAAAATCTCCAAGGAAAAGAGCCTTTTCCTTCTGTTGACTAATGTTTAGATGCAGACCAGGGAATCTTTCCTGTCACTTGGCTGAACTCCCTTGCTAAAACAACATAAGACAAGTATTTTTTCCCCTTTATTGGAGGATCCAAGGGAAGATCAGCTGGTCACTAAAGTCCAGAAAGCAATGGAGTCTTATAGCTCATTCCTGGGATGTTGCAAATAATGCCAAACTCTGATGTACTCAGACTCAACTTCTAGGATTATCATTCACTAAATGCCTGGGTGACTCCTTCTAGTGGAAACAGGCAAGTAACAATATAGACCAGACTGAGGATTTACTTAGAAGGGTTGAATCCCATCCCATAGTATGTATTCACAGCCACATGGTATAAAAGGAAGAGCATGGAGTCAAGAGTGAAGCATCCTGGGTTCTAGGCCCACATGGGAGCCATCCTGTATGACCACATCCTCTGGGTTTCATTTTTCCTTAGGAGGTCAGAATCAGAGATTTTCATGATTCCATTCGAACTAAGCTCTGATGTACAGAGAGAATGACTGCAGGCTTCATAATATTGTTCATCAACAAGACAAGGTGGGGCAAATGCTTGCTGGATACTACGTACTAAGGAAGAAGGGCGGAGTCAGTCATTTTATCGGCATTAACCTTACAGGGCTCTTGAAGATTGTTTTAATTGCCCATTTTAGAGACAAGGAGGTTAAGACTCAGAAAGCTTAAACACATTTCTCAAGATCACATTATGAATCATTAGTAAGGCCAGGAGTAAATTCAGGTGCACCAGGGCTTTTATATTGCAACAAGCTAGCAACGGGGTTGGGGAAGAGCTACTTTTTAAAAACCTGGGAAATAGAAAACATGGATTTTTTTTCCCTCTAAATTCCCCTAGTTTTCTGGTAACTAATGCAGTATCCTAGACCTTTGTTCTCATATGAATGGTCTTCAGAGAACAGGGCTCTTATGAGGGGTGGCTGTGCACCCAGAACTCTGCAGGTAACTGGAAGGTTGCTAAACTCACAAATAACTTCAAAGCCAGAGCTCCATTTCCCTAATCCCTGTAGGCAGAGGGCTGAAGCAGAGAGATGGCTGTCCTGTTGCCTGAGTGCACCTCTGAGGACCTGTCTCCCAGTTCCAAGACAGCCACCTTCATCAGTCCAGTGGCAACAGCACATCTATCTATTTCTGCTGCTCTCCCACTAACTGAAAAAAATACAGGAGATTTTTTTTTCATGTGAAATTAAAGGAGAACATTAGAGGGATATAAATCCAAACAGAAAAGGAGTATGCTGATTAATAAAACACGTGCAAACAGAAAAGTTGCACGTGTGGACTGCAGTCTGAGGACAGAGAGGGGGTGTGCTGAATTCGAAACACTTGGGTTTAATTCTCCACATGCATTTTTCTTGGATTCCTCTCTTCCTCTGTCAAGATAACAGTTGTGTTTCTTGTAGCTGAGCCGACACAGGAAATCAAATATTTTGTGTTTCTATAAACTATACTTCCCAGAGAGATAACACATCTAGAATTAAAATACTACCACAAACAATTAGGAATTTTTTATCGTTATAGATGTTGTTAAAGGACTCCAGTAGCAAAGATCAAAGTCTCCGAATTTTGCCTTTGGAGAAGGGGGTTTCATTTCAGACATCAAAGGTAAGGCTCTCAAGTCAATTTATGCTCTGCTGGGTTGAGTCAGTCAGGATACAAATTAAGGTCCATATATTTCAGTGACAAGAAGGAAACGGTTATGTAAATACACAAGTATTAACATCAATCTGTATTAAATTATGTAAACATATACATCTTCTGAGGTCAGCACATAGATCCTCTTCTTTGAGCAGAGCTCTACTGAAGCATTGCTCGAATCTGTTTGGAAGTTGATTCATCGTTCAAGTGCTTTGTAGTGAACCTGGATGGAGAGAGAATGGTAGAGGTTAGCGGCAAACAGTGCTCTGTGTAAGCTTCAGCCCATCTTTACCTTCGGAAACACAATTGATATTTGGGCTTATTTCTTTAGACAAAAATCCACACTTCAATGCTCACAGTCATCTCAGATTTAATATTTGATTCTTCCTTCCAAAGGAATTTTGTATTATGGTTATTAAACCAAGTAGATATTTTACATAATCAAATAATTACACAGAGGAGATATGAGCGGTCTCATTTTCTAGGGAGGTGGATTTCACAGGATTGAGTGCAGAATCCTGACCACTGAGGCTGCCCCTGCTAACTCACAAATTTCAGAATAGAGATTTGCATAGCAACATTGCCCAGAACTGGAATGTTTATGGTTCTCCACTTTCCTGGCAATGCTTAATTAACCTCATTGCCACCACAAGGGGGCACAAATGCTGGTAAGCAAACCCACAAAAATGGTGCAATCTGCAGCCTCCCAATAGCCGGGTGTAGAAATCATTTATGCAAAAGAAGGAAAAGAGAATTAACATGTAATAAAACTTTGGCCAGGTCATGGGCGCTCCATGTTAAGTTTCGTGTTACAATAACTTTGTAAAGGTGAGGTCATTGCCTTCATTTTATAGAAAAGAAAACTAAGATTCAGAGAGGTTAAATGATCTATTCCAGATCACAAGGTTACTGAATTGAGATTTGTGATTTCTGATTCAAACCTATATTTTGCTATCTGGAAAGCCTGTGCTCCTCTGACATCATCACAGTGCCTCCAGGAGGTACAAATTCTAACAAATCAGATGGGACTCAGGGCCTAGCACAGAGTTTTGCTTGATTGAATGATGCTGGAAAGCTCAACACACTCAGAAGTTAAAGCCTTATTCATGTGTATAGAAAGTCATCCTGGGTGTGAAATGGACACCAGGAGAAAACCTTAGTTTTTCCCACAGACTCTGGAAGGCTCTTACATTAATACTAAGTCTCTTCTAAAGGATGATGACTTAGCAACACAGCAAAACAGCATCAACCTCAGGGTCTATTTTGTTCATTTTGTGTGTGTCTCAGTTTCTTCATTTATTAAGTGGGGGTAACAGATCACCCTTACCTCTCTGACTTGTGATGATTAAATGAGACAATATGATTAGAAGTGGAGTATAAAACATGAGCATTGTACATAGGTAGAGCATTATTGATCCATCCCACTTAGACTTATTGAACACTTACTGCATGTACAACACTGAGTGGAACTCAGGGGACTCAAAGATGAATAAGACAACAGGGACCATAAACCTTCTGGACTGCAATCTAGTATCAGAATGATTTACATAGCAGTGTGATTCAACCAATTCTTGTAGATGTGTCAGAGCTAAAAAAAGCATCCCCTCTCTGAAATGGATTAAGCACATGCATCCCTGGGAAGAAAGCAGCTGCCTAGGCATCACTTGTTAGCAGTGAGAAGCTGAAACATGCCACAGCTGGCCAAATATTTAGGCATCTAGACAGTGGGTTCTCAATTCTGGTAGCTGCACATGTGAACCACCTGGGGAGCTTTAGAATAAACAAAGAAACACAAAATGGATACCTGAGACCCTAGCCCAGAGATTCCGATTCATTTGGTCTTGAGTCACATGCAGTCAGAATCACACAGAGTGTTTTCAAAAGGTACCCACATAATCCTCAAGTGCAGCCAGGTTTGGGAACCACTGGTAAAGTGGAAAGTGAGAGCCTGGAAGCCTCTTGTTCTGAGGAGTCTCTTTAAGCCCCAAAGCAGTGTGGCTGAGAATCAGGTCCATGACCCGTGGGGTCACCCACACCTGGGTTCAGGTCCTAGCTTGGCCATTTACTGTGTGACTTTTGGCAAGTTATTTGACTTCCTTAAATCTCATTTTTTTTCCATCTTTAAAAATGGGAATGATAAAAATGGTGCTGACCTCAAAAGATTGTTAGGAAGATTCAATGTGTTAAAATATGCAAGGGTTAAGTTTGGTGCTATCCACAACAGTATTTAAATTTGCAATGGCCCTGAAAGGCTGGCTGTTCCCTGTGAGCTGACACAGGGTTGAAGCTCACCTGAGGGCATTTAGCAGCCCCTCCACACTGTCTGGGGCCTGCTCCTTCAAAACTTTTATGCAGCCTTTCATCTAGGAGGAGAAAGCACAATGTTTGTTAATATCTTAGTAATACTGTCTATGCCAATATCTACCCATAATAACATGTGCCCATAATGTCACATTATATCTTCCCATAGAAATCCAACGCAGAAATGACCAACAGGTTTTCCTACCCCCTCAGGCTGGTGAGCTGTTCCTCTGGGCTTCTAGAGGATTCTGTATGACTGCAATCATTATCAATTTTCATACTATTTGCAATTGTACATTTCACTTGCCTGGCTTTAGGGACAAAGACTTGAGACTTTGATCTTGCCTTGTACTATGGAGCCAAATGCAGGGCCTTCCATCCACTCAGTGCTCAGTTTCCATGTCTATGTCTATGTTGGACATGTCTATGTCCAAGTCTATGTCTCAGTTGAGATTTACTGAATAAAATCTGAATAATTTTATGCCATTCTTCTGCCCTGAATGTTTTCTGTCCTTCACCTGTTTGACTGGCAAACCCTTAACACTTATTTTAGACCCAGCTGAAGATCATTACCTCCTGGAATCCTATTCTGACCTCACTACCTTCATTAGGTAGAAGCAACCAACACCTTTCTGTGCTCCCAATACGACTCTGTCATTTATCAGAGAAACTTGGAGAATTTAGTGCCCATATTAACTTCTTTCTTCACTAGACCAGGAGCTCCTGGAGGTCCAAGTCTATGTCTCAGCCATCTTTGAGAGGACTGATGAAGGGCCACTGTTCAGAATGTGAACTTCACAGATGCTAAATGCCTGAGTTTCCTTCATGCTTGTTTCTTTAGTATCTTCACAAACCTAGGCAAGTGTCTTAGCTTTTTGTGTCTGTATAATATAGTTGACCCGTAATTTGGGAAGTGCATGGAAACTGAATTTATATAGATCACATTACATTATGCATATCCTGGAGTGTTTTTTGGCAAAGCAAGAATCTTTCTGCAAAGCTATTCATATGCTGTTATATATTGGATTTGGTTATACTTAGGGCCCCTTTTGTAACAGCCCTTAGAAACATTTTCTGTCATTGTGCTTCTTGCATGTCAAAAGTTTTATCTTACGGCCTGATAGACCCTGATAGACTGATGGAGGCTGCCAGAAAACAGGGTTGGGAATCATGTGAGGATCACTACAGGTGCATCAAAAAAGAATGTCATGGCAAACGAGAGGTGTCTGTCATGCATACCGGATTGGGAGAAGCTACAAGCATGCCAGGTATATGCCACCCCAGACCTGGGATGGCATCAGGCCCAGGGATGCAGAGATTCTGTCCCTCTCCCATAGTTGATTATCACAGTGTGGAAGTGTTCTTATGAACCAGGCCTAAGAAGCAGTGACAATGCAGATGTGGAAGGGGTGGAAGAGCAGGGAATGCTGTTTGGGAATCCGGAGTTCCACTTAGGGTGATTTAAGCTGTAGGTATGAATAACAAGATGCTGTCAAGGATGCAGTTGGGGCCAGATGCAGTGTGAATTCGACAGCATGTTCAGGAGCTGGGGGCTTTACCTGTGGAAAACATCCTTGATAGGTGTTAAATAATCTAGTGATGTGGTTAATATGGAAAAGGACCAGAAGGAAGCAAGAACAGAGAGAGAAGGGGCAGTGAGAGCCCCTGAGGGTGTGAGGTGTGGGAGCAGCAGTGGGCATGGAGGAGCAAGTAGAGACAGGGACTAATCTGAGGTCAACTCCATAGGATTTGGTGACTGATGAGATATGGGGTGAAGAAGCCATTCCTCATTCTCAGGGACAATTTTAGCCTCTGGCTTAGACACTGGTTGGAGGACGATGAAATACCTGAGACGGGAACCCAGGAGAAGGAACAGGTTTGTGGGGGGAGGGGAATCTCTGTTTTGGGGATGGCCATATTTCAGGTGTCCATGGGAAATGGGGTCTGGAATTCTGGATAAAATCTGAGATGGAGACAGGGGTTAAGAGGTGATTACTTATTGGGTCATTTCAAAAGATTCTAAGGAAATCAATTGAAAACACCATCTCCCCAAACCCTCCTTTCCTGGCATTCACAATTAGCATTTCTTTAATAAATGGCTTGTGCCGCCTTGGTAGCCACTTGGATGATTCCCCCTGCCTGGAGGACTCTGCTTTCCCTCTGTCCTTTTGGGATAATCCTACATCTTCTTCAAGGTCCACCTCAAACATCACCCTCTGTCTCTGCTCTTCGGCAAAACGAGTTTCTCCCTCCCCCTAGGTTTCCAGAGCTCACTGCATGTCTATTCTGCACTCCAAAGCATGCCCTTTGTAAGTACACACACAGTGCCTGCCTCTCTCAGGCCCTCACGAAGAGATCCTGGGGTTTTCACAGTTGATGCTGATGCCCTAATGATTTACGAGCCCAGTGACTATAACTGCTGGCTTAGAAACAGACTAGTATCTGAATGGAGACCCTATATGTCGTAAAAAAAAAATGGCCCATCTCAAATGGTTTACCGTGCTTATTAAGCCTGAAACTTTCTTAGAGGTACACGCAAACATCCATATGAACAAACCTTACGTAGTGCTTTTGACCTCCACGGACAAAAGCAAACTTCATCAAGACTATGCGTGAAGACTTAACATGATATACTGTTTACAGCCTCAACTGAAAGACTCAGTAAATAACATATAAAGCCAAGCTTTTTAAAGATTAGGGCTACAAGGCATAATTTTACCCAGTGTATTTTTAATTGTTGACTCTGTGACAAGTTAACAAATGGCTATGGTAATGAGAATATCTTATGAGTCTCAGGTAATGAACTCAACCCATAGTCAAATAATATTTACAGAGTTATTTATACTCAATCTATAGTATGAAAATGTTAAAGCCTCACAAAGGATACAGTAAAAATATTTATTGGTATAAAAATGCCCATGATACACTTTTATGTAAATGAAATATGTTTCAAAATAGCACGTAAAGCAGGGTACTAATTTGTTAAGGACATCCACACACATGTCCACACAAGCATCTATACTAAAAGAAGGTACACATGCATGCTGCTGTATGAACGGTGATCCTCTGCCTATGGTGAGGTTATTACAGGATATATTTAATTTACTATGTCTTGATTTTCTAAGTGTCAAAATTTTTTTCACATAAATATTTATTTTCTTGGTACATAGAAATAATTACATTAAAAATAATAAAGAGTCTATGAAGAAACATGACTAACTATACTACGAACTCAGAACCTTAAAATAAGTAATCCAAGTTACATTTTTTATTGATACATTATCTTGCATTCTTCAGACCTATGGCCCTCCTGGGCATGTAGACTTTCTCTTGCATAGGGCCAGAGCATCAGGACACTGTTCTCTGCAGATGAGTGAACACAGTGTGTCACCCAGACTCGGCTATACTGGAGTAAGTAAGTTACTACCAAGAGATGCTATTCTGCACTTTAAAGGCTTTAAATGAGTACATGGAATACACTATTGGGTTGGTGCTAGAGGCAAGTGCTGGATGAAGAGGAGGTGTGCTTTATGCCACAATCAACAGCAAAGCAACTGTGCACCAAAATCATGTGTTTTCAATTATCTTCATTCATTCATTCATTCATCCATCAAAACACCTACAGCGTGTCTGTTGAGTTCCACCCACTATGTGCCAGGTACTGTGTGAGGCAATAGAGCAGACATGAGGTATATAGATTATGGTCCCTGTCCTTGTCAAGAAATTGTCTGTGAGGGAGTCAGAAAATACAGAACGGTGAGTGCTCTGGCGACCAGAGAAGCAAGAAGGCTTGTCCTATGCAGAAAATGTGTTCTTAGATGAGGCGATGTTTGAAACATGTCTGAAAGGAACCCACCCATCAGAGAGGAAGAGGAAGGGCTCTCTCGGCAAGAGAAAGGACTCACACATATCACGTATATCCAAATGATGAGGAAAGGCATGGGACATGAGTGGAGCAACAGGTAGTGGTGGGAGAGGAAGTGAAAGGTAATTTGGGATTTGACCATAGTGTCTTGTAATGTAGTATCTCCCAACTCTTCACAATAGGACACACATAGAATAGAAACCATCTATTTGTACAGCACACTGGGTAAATGAAGGGACTGCATGCAACTAAGTGACTGTTCATTTGCTCAGCTCCATTAGAGACTGAGGGGATCAGCATCATAACATTGCTGCTGTGCTTTTGAGGTTGAGTGTTTTTTCCTAAGCACAAGAAAAAGCCTGGACATCTTGCTGTGAGGACAGCTGCCAGGATGGGCTGTGCATCTTAGAAAGATCACTCTCAGTGGAGAGGTCCTGAGGTGCCTGAGGAAGAAAAACAAGGTCTGGCAACATTCATGGGCCCTTATTTGGAAAGCACATTTCACAACTATTCTTACATCGATCTTGGATGTCTTGCAGAAAGCTCCCACAGGGTGGACATGGTCATAGAGGATGATGACTCCCACCATCACCCTCATGCAGAACATCAGGGTCTCTTCACTCGTAAACCTACTTCTGTACTCCCTGCAAGAGAAGAAACAGCAGTGGCGTCACTTCCTTGTCAGAACATGTGCGTTCTTTGGCCCCACAACTGGATACTTTAGATGCCTCCAATCCTCTCTTGGGAACAATCCCAGACCTGCAACAACCAGTTAATATGCTTCTGAGGAAATCCATGATGATAATTCTCCTTGAATCTATTCAACCAGCAATTCAGTGTGAAAATGAAGTAAATTAAAGGGCAGTAAATTCCCTTCTCATCTGCCCTTCAGCGGGCTAGCTCATCATGTACCTCACTCCTCCACCTATCAATCTTGAATATTTTATAGCAGGTCCCTCTGGCTGTCCAAGATTATAGAGAGTAATGGCTTCATTACAGAGAAAAAGAATTAGGCTCATTTCTACGGAGCAGCTATCATGTCTCCAGTCGGAGTAACTTCCTTTGTTAAAACACAGGCTGCAGATTGTATTGGATTGGCAAAAATACCTTAAAAAACTATGTATCATTCATTGAGCATCCAAGAGTATTTGTAGAGTTTGAATTTTGTTCACTTACCTTGACAGGGTCACTGATGATTCAGATAATTCAGGCCAATTCTAGAGGCTTTTTTCCTAGAGGCTTTCTTAGCATCTATTTCATTATGAATTGGCTCTGCAATGAAGATGATTACTATTTCTGCCTTGGAATAAATCTTAACTTTGGTACAAGTGAAATATTTGAAATTAATGCCATCTTACATTTGAACAGGCTATCAGATTTTATAAGGTACTCTTGATGGCTTTGGTCTTCCTAAAGACTCTGCAAAGTAGATGGCCTTATGGGAACTTCATTAGATGAGGAACCCGAGGCTCAGGAAGTCAGGCCAGTTATTTACAGGCATAGTAGGGGCTACAGCCATAAATGGAACTCAGAATTTTGAGCACAGATTACCATGCTGCTTCATCCTCAATATTCTCAATCATTTTTAAATCTAACAAGTAGCAACTAGTTTAGGTACAAAAAGAGACAGAGAGAGAGAGAAAGAGAGAGACCTCCATTTTCACTCTTGAAACAGTCTTATCATGTCAACTCCTGGTTTTATATCTTCTCTACAATATATTTATCATGATGTCCCATCATTTAACACACCCTCCATTTGGTTCTTACAGATCTTCTACAGCATCTGTGATCTGAGCCTTGGTTCTGCCACCTGACAAGCTATGCAGTTGTTGGGAAGTCAGTCAACCACTTTGGGCCTCAGCTTCTTCAGCTATGCAGTAGTGATAGTGACACCTACCACTCAGAGTTCTTAGTGAAATTAAAGCAGATAATATACATGAAAACTTTAGGGTGTTGACCCAAATGTTACATATCATTAACATCATCATCTTAACAGACACTGGCTGGGTGAAGTCTCAACCACGAATACATCTCTGATTTAACTTACGGAGTTTCCAGCATGACTTTACAGACACTTGTCATTGTGCTGAGGCAGTCTGTGGTGTTCTCTATTGGCAGAGTTTTGTTCTAAATGGGAGACACAAATGTACATTAGTCCTGCTTGCAGCTCTTGTGTGGAATTAAGGAAAAAAGCACCTCGTTGCTCAACTTCACTTACTTCAGAGACAAAGTGCATTGTGGCATTGCTAAGGGTTTTCAGCATTGGCGTGGCTTCTGCATAGAAGAGGGACATTCGATTGGCCATCTCATTATTGACTTCATTCTCAATGTCTAGCTGATGAAAATAAGAAGAGAAGATGGATTTATAAAGAGAAAGTCCAAATCCTCCAAATACTTTTCTCTGGAACTGAATTACAGACAAGGACATTGTCTTCTGTCTGTGCTCTGCCTGATGCAGAAATCAAAAGAGTCATGGAGAAGGGTGCAAAGGTCAAGGCGACCCAGGGACTCACGTGCATGTTGTTGATGCGGTTGCGACTGATTGTTCTTCTGTAGTAGCTGAAGTCATTCTGAATAGCCGGGTTCCTCATCTGAAATTCAGAGGACAAGAGCGAAGGTCATCTCTCAGTATCAGATGGGGTATATGCATTAGGAGGAGCCCAGACACTAGATTTTATAAATACTCCAGGACTTCTCTTTGTTACATAAGAGTCAAAGCAACTTCTGGTTAGAAATAAGGACCCACAACTTCATTATTTTAAAATATGCCCTGTGGGCTAGATTTCAGGGAAAGTATATTTGGTCTCAATGTGGAACAGATACTTGAAAAGGTTTTCTCTGATTTCATTTGGCAGATTTAAAATTTCCATATACAAATCATCATCTTAAATTACTTTTACCACATGGAATGCAAATTCTCACCACATTATATGTCTCTCTAGGGAAGGAATTACATCTTACTCATTTCTCTACCCACCCACCCCACAGCACTAACAGAACAGCTGTAAACAGTAGGTACTCAGTACAAGTTTATTAAATTTTCACAGCACATTTGGCCTAACCTTCAGCTCATCGAATCGAAGGGTAAAATGTAAAATTTCGGCAAACTCCTTTGCCAGGGCCTGTTCCCTTTCCAGGTGTTGGGTTGGTGTGTAGGGTGGACAAGTCAGAGATTCCAATAAACTCTGAAGAGCTTTTTCTGAAAATCAAAGGGATAAATAGATATGTTGGAGGTGGCCCACAGAGGTCCTTCAAAGAACACAATTCCCAGCCTCAGTTGACAATCTCGGAGATCACCTGCTTGAGTCTCTCCCGATAACTACGTGAGGTGTGCTGCATGTGGACGAGGAAGAGAAGGAATCCCACATGGCTGGGCAGGCAGCCTCCCCTGAGGAAACCCCCCATGGCCACAGTGTTTTGTAAATTTCTTTCTAAGCTCAGCTGGACCTGGACATATTTAGTAATCTCAATTTCTGACACTGTTAGAAAACCACAGATATGTGTTTTTGGGTCATGTGCATGAGACAGCCATTCATGATTCAGGATGAGATGAGACGGTGCCCTAAACACATGGGTTAGATGACCGGCTTTGCAGGGAAAGACCTCTGCCCCTATTGGACTTTTCTCTGCATCTACATTCTAACCTAATCCCAAGAATATTTTTCTATGAACCCATTGCCCTATCTACCTCCATTATTTTTCTTGCAACAGTTTCACCACTCCCACTTGTCTGTTTCTCTAAACAGTCCCTTATAGCTTGTTCTTCAATATATTTCTAATAGCACAGAGTCATTTAACCAATCCTCTAAAGCAGGGATTGGCAAGGTATGACCCATCAGCCAAATCCGGTCCATTACTTGTGTTTTGTAAATAAACACAAGTTTTATTAAAACACAGACGTGCTCATTCTGTTATGTAATGACTAGGGCTGCCTTTACATGAGAGTGGCAGAGGCGAGTAGTTGCAAAAAAGACAGGACGGCCCACAACTCTAAAATATTTATGATTTGGCCCTTTACAGAAAAGTTTGCAGACATCTGCTCTATGTAGTTCTTACATAACTTTTATAGCATTTCTACCGGGATATCTCTGGCCTTTTTGAGATATTTCCATCTGTAAGAACACACTCTCTTTTGAGGCAGCCAGTTCTACCTTGGCCTGCTCTCGTAAGGAATTGTTTTCCTTCTGTTGAGCAAAAATTTGGCTCCTCAGAATTTCCATTCACTGGGTCAACCCTTTGAGGAAACATAGAAAGAAGTCTATGTTCTCTTTTACTCTCTTCTATCTGAGAGTCATCAGAAACCCTCTCTTCTTGGAAAACGGGTTTGGTTCATTCAAGTACTTCCCTTCGTCTCAGCTTCTAGTCCTCTTAACATCACGGTCATTACTCCCCCAAGGTATTTCAAGTTCTCTGTTTTCCTCTTAATCTGTGGCACTCATTTTATGGCAAAAGTAGAGTAGAACATGCCTTCTTCATTCAAGATATACTGTATTAACCAATGAAGCATCCTCCCTGGGGAGTGATTTTGTCATATTGCTGGTCACATTGATCCTATTTCCAACCAGATTTGGCATTACTCAACATCTACAAAGCCATCCTGTACTTGCACAGTTTTTTAAAGCTTAAGGAAATAATGTTACATTGTTTTTCTTGCATTTTACTCTATTAAATTTATCATATGACTCCAGACAAGCAAGTTATTTGTTGGGTGAGCAGGTAACCTGTTATCTTTTAACTTCTCTGTTATTCAGAAATGTGATCAGCCCACAGTAAAACTATTAAGAATTGGACACAGATGAGAACAGGACCAAGAAGATACTCACTAGTAGAGACACACTAAATGGGCCAATAACTTCAGGGGAAGAACTTTGTGGTGGATTGAAAGAAATGAAAATGACAAGAGTTGTTGCTCATAAATGGCCTCTCATTTGATACAGTGGATGGATGTGGGACATTTTCCAATATGCCACGCTGTTCCCACTACCTACTCAAACATCAAAACAGAACTCCGTATGTGGGCCATGAAAACTACAAATACATACTCACCTAGTCTAATGGAAAACTCGTAAAATCTCTTTAGCCTCACAACAAGAGGGCACACCGCATTCCAAGCTTTTTCTTGAAGCTGAATGTCATTGGGATTTTGAATTGCCTGCAAAAACACAGTAGAGCTGACTGTTTAAAAAGAAGTGGTAAGCTCCACATCAAAATGCCCTAAGATTTAGTTTAAAATACAATCCTTGCTATACTTTGCTGATGTATACTACTTAAATCAACACCGGTTCATCGGATGGTCCTCCAACATGCTCAATATGAATGGAAATTTTAACACTTGAACATACAGCAAATGGCTCTACAATTACATCCTGTGTCATCTTACTTGTTTCTATTATCTTGAATACAAAAAATTCACATCTAAATTGGAAGAAACTCAGCCCTCTCCATCACCATTAGACTCCTCTAAAGTGGAATTCTGCTCATTATAAAGTGCAAATTCTGTAGACATTTTGTTTATCTTTAATAGGTATTGCATTCCTGCCAGTTTGTCATGTTACCTAAATTGTATAAATTAAATGGTGACCCCTAAGTAGAAAAACCACCTCTTACTAGACTGTTACTTTTTTAGAAACTCCGCCTTGTCTGAGTTTCAGCAACTTGAGGATTATGACGGTGGTGGTGTTCTTTTCAGAAGGATGGGAGCAGTGGCAGTACTGTGTGCATGTGTGCGTATGTGTGTGTGTGTATGTGTGTATTGGCATGCGTATATGTATGTGTTGGTATTGCCACAAAACTAATGCTTTCACATAAAAAGAGTGTGAAGTTTCTTGCTTTTAAGGTATTGCGAAGTTGCAAAAGTCAAAGTGGTGATTTTCTTTTTTGTTTTTGTTGTTGTTTTGTTTTCTGTTAATTTTAGAAAATCTCATAAGACATTTGAGATGACAAACTGAAAGCAAGATGGTTTTGGCTGTTGTGTATCACACTGGTGGAACCTGCCTGAGTAATTACCAAATGCCAGAAAGTACATGTCCACCCAGACTTCATGGTTCATATTTCAACTGTTGTTCACAGACTTTACATTGTTTCCCTTAAATGAAATAACATATTGATACATTATTGTTTAAATGTGAGTCCTGCAATATCACTTGTGTGTTTGAGAAGAGAATGGGTAATATTAATCTATAGCACTGTGTGCTCAGATTAATGCACTAGAATAAAAGGGGCGATTCATGCTCTTTTTTTTTTTTTTTTTGAGACAGAGTTTCACTCTTGTTGCCCAGGCTGGAGTGCAATGGTGCGATGTGCAACCTCAGCTCACTGAAACCTCTGCTTCCCAGGTTCAAGTGATTCTCCTGCTTCAGCCTCCCAAAGTAGCAGGGATTAAAGGCACCTGCCACCATGCCCAGCTAATTTTTTTGTATTTTTAGTTGAGTCTGGGTTTCACCATGTTGGCCAGCCTGGTCTTGAACTCCTGACCTCAGGTGATCCACCTGCCTCAGCCTCCCAAAGTACTGGGATTATAGGCGTGAGCCACCGCAGCCGGCCCATGCATTTTGTTTTTAAGGACACATTACCCTCCTTGTTCTTCCTGGTACTCTAGGAAATACTGTAGCTATTACTTAATCTTGCTGTGTGTGTCTGTGTGCATGTGTGGTTTTCCTTCCCCTCCTCGGGTGTTGTCAGTTCAGCGTGATCATTGACATACATCTCGGATCTCTGGGCCTGCGCCTTTGTAAGCCTGCAGGTCTGCAAGGATGCTCTCAGAATCCTGAAGGACGGCGCTGATCTGGTTCCAGATTTCTCTCTCTCCTTCTGTAGGCTGAGCATCTAAGAAACAGGGAAACCGAGAGACAGAGTGCTGGTGTTTACAAATAGCTTGGGAGGAGGATGGATATTCAGTTTTACCTGCTTGACAATCCTATCATATTCCTGCTGCTCTGGTATTTACTCTTTAACCTAATAAGCTGCTAGGATGCTAGGAAGGGAAAACTGATGAAACTTCTGCCCATTACTCAGTTTAAAATAGTCAATGATCTTTTTATAGTCATAAAACAAGCACACAGGAGTCATCATAGGCACTTATTTATGTGGAACAATTTTTTTGCACACCTGCTACGTAAAACAGGGCACTGAGTGATAGAAAAAATAAGCATTGTCTTTTTGAGTCCACATGTTTTGGTCTTTTTATTATTTTATTACTTTTTCAATTACTATTTTTATTGTGGTTAAATACACATAACATAAAGTTCACCATCTTAGCCACTTTTAAGTGTACTGTTCATTGATATTAAACACATTCATAATGTTGTACAACCATCGCCACACTCCATCTCCATGACTCCTTTCATCTTGTAAAACTGAAATTCTGTATTGGGTCTGCTTTTTAAAGGAGAAGCAACTGAATATTTCTGCTTTGATTGAAAATCTGTGAATCTGAGTGTAGATGGGAAAAACAGTCTGCCTTGTATTTCTATATTTAAAAATATGCTTAAAAACTGGATAACTAAAATCCTTCAAACCACGACAGAGGCATATCATTCCTGAACACATGGGTATGTAGAGAGCACTTCTCATTGAACCTGATCTCATGTTCAGGAGGTTTGGCAAAGACGTGCAGGGAGTTCATGTTAAAGACAAATGTTCTGTTTATCTTTGGTCTTGACCATAACTGTTACCCACAAAAACAAGTGACACACTGAAGCTTCCATAATGAAAACAGTATTCTAACAGTCACAGAAGCACCCTTGAGCTCTTCAGTGAATTCTCACTTGATTACCTTCCCGGAGCTAGCATGTATTCTTGTTCCCGTGAGCATTTCATGGGAGCTGGTGGGTGGTGGTGGAGAGGTAGTAAAGATTGGGTTTTATTTATCTTGCAATTCCTATGCAATAGGTTATCTCCCTGGCCTAGTAGGGAAGTTCATCTCTCCATCTAAAACAAAGGCACTGCTCATGGAGAGGGGACAGATGTTATCTTATCAAACTCTGTTTTCAAATATCCAGATCCTGAGGCACAGCATGCTTGCAGCAGACCTCACTAACAGAGGGTGAAGGCCGAGTTTACACCTGGTCTAACCCTCACCAGATCAAATCTCAGTTTTAACTAATCTTCGTGGGAGTACAAGGGGCTGATCCTGCAAGAGGGTTGTTTACCAGTGTTTCTCTGGGGATAAAAAAAAGACAGGGCTGGGTGCAGTGGCTCACACTTGTAATCCCAGCATTTTGGGAGGCTGAGCCAGGCAGATCACTAGGTCAGGAGATCGAGGCCAACCTGGCCAACATGGTGAAACCCCGTCTCTACTAAAAATACAAAAATTAGCTGGGCATGGTGGTGCATGCCTGTAGTCTCAGCTACTTGGGAGGCTGAGGCAGGAGAATTGCTTGAATCCTGGAGGCAGAGGTTGCAATGAACTGAGATCATGTCACTGCACTCCAGCCTGGCAACAGGGTGAGACACCATCTCAAAAAACAACAACAACAACAACAATGAAACAAAACAAAAAAACAAAAGACAGAATTCACAAGATAAGTGACGGCGAAGTGGGGCACTGGCTATGCTGACTTGGTGTTCAGAAATGCTGAGATCGGTGAGGAACTGAGGCGGGGTGGCTGCTCCTGCTTCAGTTACCTAAACTCTCCATGACCGGAGCCCATGGAGATTTTTAGACTAGGTGACTCACCAGGTCCTGCTGCCTAAGACCTGAGAAACTGGTAGAGTTTCCTAAGAAATGAAGAGTGAAAATCATCAGTGCCATGGCAATTCTCTTTGAAGAAAAGATCATAGGTCCTCATAGGTTATCCAGAAACTTTGCAAACTATACATTCAAAGAATGAGACCATTTCAACTAGGAAGTAAGGAGGTACTGGAATGTCTGTACACAAGGACTCAGAGAAAGAGAAGATGAATGTGGTCTGGAAAGAGTGGAAACAGTTACATGTAAGGGATATAACTTGAGCTGGGGCAATGGAAGGTGAAATGGAGTATATTCATGAAGAGAGCACAGCTTGGACAAAGGCTTGGCAGCTGGAGAAAGCAAGGCTGGGGAAACAAACAAACAAACAAACCTGCTAGGTTAGAAAACAATCTACTGGAGACAGTAAGGGAAAAAGACATTTATTACAGGTTGAGCTTCCCATATCCAAAAATCTGAAATGCTCCAACATCTGAAATGTTTTTAAATGCCCACATGGTGCAACAAAGAAAATTCTCACTGGAGTATTTTGCATTTCAGCTTATTGGATTTGGGATGCTCAGCTGGTAAGTATAATGCAACTATTTCAAAATCAGAAAAAAAAAAAAAAAAAAAAAACCCAAATCTGAAACACTTCTGGTCCTAAGCGTTTTTGGATAAGGGGTATTCAACCTGAACTTTTTCAGGTTTTATGGCCTATCAGTGTTTCCCAAAAACATTTGGTAAGTTTTCTCAGATATGATGTTACTCACAATATTAATCACTTTGTATTTTACCTTTTTCTGCTTTCTCAAACTTTTCTCAAAGTGATGCAAGTGTCTTAAACACAAACCTAAAAATCCACAAGCTAGGAGGCCCGTAACTGGAGAAAGTGTTCTGGTAGAATAGAATTCCAGGGTAAGCCTGGCAGTTTCTGAGTAAGGAAAGTGTCAGGGAAGAAAACATAAGAAAAAATGCAAAGCAACGAGCCTAGAAAACAAATAAAAATAAAACACTGACTATTCAAATCCTGTCTCCTTTTGAAAAATCATAAGCTAAACAAAGACAGTTTCCTAGAGATGTATGTATTTGGAGAAGAAGAAAAGCAAGATAGTCAGTGACCAAGATTCTCAGGGCTAAGACTATTTGAGTATATTTATAAAATAGTATGGGAAAGAAGAAGGCACTCTGAGGCCAGAACAGAAAGCCTTCTAATCTCAGCGGTCACCTGGCTCCACCCTAGCAAATCACCGCTTGATAAGTTTTAGACAAAACAGAATTAAAACTAAGTGGGCCAGAGAGGAGAGCTGGAAATTTTTTTTAAAAAAATCCTGTTGATGATTACTTAAACAGAAAAAAAGAAAGATTTCAAGTCAGTCTTTAAAAATAGAGGCCTCTCTTAACTGTTTCAAAAATAAGACTGTTTCTGATAGGGTGGCCTGAAAAAGGTACTGGCACTAGAGACAAACAAGCTGCGCTCTCCATCCCAGGTGAAGGGACCTTTCAACAAATCAGCACTGACATTTATATGACCACAGAGTTGCATGAGTAACCAGGGGGCTGGTACCACTTCTCTCCCAGAGGAGGCGGACTTCAGGGGCTGTGGTAAACAAATACCTTCCATCCTACAGTAATTCTCTCCTGGCAGCTGGGGTGATCTATAAGACAGGACCCTCAGTCCTCAGCCTCCCTAAGAAACTGTTTCTTTTGGCAGATTTCCTGGTGTCCTATTAGAAATATTTCTCATGTGGTTTAGCAGTGGTGGGATGCGGTAGGAGAAAGCCACTCCATCATTTCCATCTTTCCTCCAGGCTTAGAAATATGTTGCCTCATTTTCATCCAAAATTTTGTTGGTTTTATTGGATGTCCAATTTCTTCCTTCTTTCCTGTCATGAAACTGAAGTCACCTCTTCCAGCTATAATTAGACGGGCAGCACAGTTCCTGCCTTCTGGGCCAGAGTGCCATAAGATTCTCAGGGGACTCAAATCACAAGTGGTGTCAGCTTTCAAGGAAGAGAGTGACAACTGGGAGAAGCTCTAGTCTGTCTGTCTGTCTCTCTTTTCAAATGGGAAAAGAACTGTGTGACCCACAGTGACATGTGACATTGGCCTAAATCCCTATGGAAGTCCATGATTCATTCTATTTTCATCCCCCAGCTAAATAATCATACAGTCAGAACTAATTAATGAAAATCTTATCCATTAGACTGTAGGACTCTGGTCATATCTGTTTCACTTGACATTATATTTCTAGGATCTGGCACAGGGCCTGGCACATAGTAGATGCTCAAGAAAAATTTGCTGAACAAACAGTTGAACAATTTAAATATACTACTCACACTGTTTTGTGATTTTTCTTCTGCTTGTCTTTGAATTCTGAGATCTTTTGAGAAGGCCATTGGAGACAGGCAATAAAAGTGTGATGAATCAATGAATACACGAAGAAATTGGTAAGATGGGATAGAATGCTGGGTACTTGAAAGCAGTGTAGTAAGTAAAGGTCCTATTACGTTTAGATCCTCTCCTCTGTCTCTACTCCCAAAATGACTTTATTTTATTTTTTTAAATGACAAGGTCTGGCTCTGTCACCCAGGCTGGAGTGCAGTGGTATCATCATAGCTCACTGCACTCAAATGGCTTTTGTATAGTTATATCTCTCCTGGTTACCATTAAGATGTAGGTATTTACCTACAGTCAAATTGGCCATCCACTCTTTCATTAACATCCATGTTCTCAAATCATCCATTATTGATCTACGGCCTGAATGTCTCACCAGTGTGGTTAACACACTAATAGGGTATTTGTTGAGTCTGACACAGTGAAAAACTGCACTTAGGTTTACGTTTCTAATCTGAAAGCTGTTATCATTTTGCCATCTGGAAAATCCCTTTGAGAGGCTTTGGAGTCTTACACTTGGCCTTCTCGATATTCAGATTCAAGTGGTGAACATGTTTTTGAAATTTATTGTGTTTTCAGATGTCGTGGAAAGACATCTTGAAAGGAACCCTGAAGAATTAGTGATTGAAAAGGTTACTAAATTTAAGCTATCAGCAACCCCTTAAAGCATCTGCTGAGTGAAGAGGAGCTGTGAACTGTGTGCTTGGCTTTTCTATTTTTAACACAAAGACTGAACTTTAGTCAAAGAAAGGTACAAACAGTCCCCACCACACACACACCAACAATGTTACTGGTGAAAATGGGTCCTTATTTCTAGTTGCAGCCAGTGTTTTCTTTGGTAATGTTCCTTCTAAGAACCATATTCTAAGCTTCTAACCATTGCCAATTATTTCACGGAAATTGAGGAGAATGGTTACATAAAGCTGGAGTTACTCCTGTCTAACAATAAAGCTATTAAAAATCTCTGTGATTTACATGGGCAGTTTCAGAAACCAATACTTCCAGGAGCCCTGGAACAAGTGTATCCAGGACATTATGTGGGGGGATGATTTAAAGTCCTGTTCTGGACTTGCTACTGTGGAAAGTTTGAAAATGTATCAAGTGCCCTGCGACCTTGCACACATATACATTTGTTGTCAAGAACTCACTAAATTCAAAGTGTCTAGAATTTGCAATAGCATAAGTACCTTATACATTAAGATAGTTAAACAGGATTAGTTTTGTTTGCAGGGGCTCAATTTGTTAATGCTGGTGAATATTAACTGTGAATACTTTGCTGTCACCTGAGGCAGGGTGGAAGATTTCATTGTGGAGAAGAGTGATATTTATTTAAACCAATGCACGGCACTCCTTGATGCTAATGGAGAAGAAGGTGGCTATGTGCTTTGTTTTTGGGGAAGGTCTTCGGTGAACCTGCCACAGGGCACGACAGCAGGGCTTGCACTGGAGAAGGGCTATCAAATCCATGTATTCTAATTTTTATAGATCGGCCAAGGACTTACACTGTCTTCAAATGCACCAGTAACATATACACATTTTCCTAACAACCCGTTTAGGACTGTATGGACAATTTGACAGAGAATCAAACTAAACTAAGATAATGTGAGTAGAAAACACCATTTACATAGAGATGTCTTTGGTTTTGAAAGATGCCCTGGCATTTCATCAATAGGATATATAGCTATCTCTGTGCCCCATGACTGTTGTATAAACACTGAAAAAAAGTACAGCAAAATGGATTCGCCAAAGCTGTAAATTAAATTCTGCCCTTCTTTCCCACCCACTTCCTCTCTCCTCCAATCTCTTTCCCCTTCAGGCTAAACTAAGAAGCATAAATAATTATCTATTATTAATATGTGGGGATGTAAAATGGAAGTGATTTATAGCACAATACTAACTGTTTATGAAAACAGAATAAAATGGAAAAGGTCTGCCAGCAAATATGTGTGACAGGGCCGGCATATTTACTCTTAGAGGACATTAGTCATCTTACACCAGGGCCCGAAGCCCTTTTCTATAGAACAATCACATTAGGACTGAAAAGAGTAGGAGGGTCAAAGTTCCTGCAGGCTGTCTATTTTCTTCACATGCAGTGGGACCCTGTGATGGGAGCAGTCCAAGGATGGCATTTTTGAGACCAGGTTTCACTGCCACTCAATATTAGACCTCAGGGCAAGCCAAGTAATCTCTCTGGGTCCAGATTCATTCTTGTTAAAAGAGAGGGAAGCTAAGAATAGCCTGTCTCCTCCCTACCTGCAGGGTCATAATGAAGATGATGGAATAGATTTAAAGCACTTAAAAAGCAAAAGTGCCAAAAAATGAATTTTTTTTTTTTTGTCACGGAATCTTTGTATTGCCATCAAAAAACTGCTTCCCAGGTATGTTCTGTTTTTGTTTGTTTGTTTTCTTTTGTAAAATGAGGATACTAGACAAAAAGACATCTGATACTTCCCCTCTTCTTCCAAGATTATCAAGCCTCCTCTGAACAGCTTAGCAGATGGGAGGGCAGCAGAGAAGAACAGATGAAAGAAGAAACCAATAGTGGCAGGGAGTGGTCTGAGTTAGCAACAACAGCAACGATCCCAGATGATAGGCTGATCTGACTCAACACCCTTGTTTTAAAGAGTAGGAGTCTATATTCTGAATAGGTCAACATAGTCAGAGTATTTTTAAGAGTACAATGATTTGAAGACTTTAGAATTTCTTTCTTTACACCCCAGCCCCCACCACATCCATTACTGATCTTGGCATTCCTATTATGTTAATTAATGTGAGTTTGTCTTGCAAGAAAACCATTTTTTTCAGCCACTGTCTTCAAGAAACATTTCTTTAGTCAAATCCAGAACTTGTACTTCTGGCTAGCATATCACTTACTCTCTGCTCTGTTACAGACTTCTTCCCTACTACCTGCACTACTGTCTCTTCCATGTGCTTACATCTTATCTCCTCAACAAAATTATAAGCTTCTTGAACAAGAGATCATGTTCTTCCAATGTCCCTATATTTATGTGCTATATTTCATCCCTCCAGGCCCCCTGACACACTAAGAACCCACACCCCACTACTGCCGTTTCTGCCCGAGGAATGCAAGAGATGTTCTGCATATAGTTTCTTCATTGGTGACTGTCAATCAAAGCCAGTGTTCCTCAGCTTACATTTCATGCCCAGCCCTAGGCTGGACACTGGATAAGACACAGAATAATATAAGCATAAGATGCCATCTAAATTCTCCCTTCAGGGATGTGTACAACAATGAGGAGACAAACATACATTTGCAGAAGAAAACTACCAAGGCTTGATCCCTGACAGTGTCTCAGACAGTTGGTGATTAACCACCGGACGACTGATTCTTGGCACTAACAGACTGACTTCTCCCTGCAGTTAATTCTAACACATTGATCAAATATTCTACATTTCCAAAGTAGTACCCAGCCAAGGTATGAGAGAAAGATAAAATCCAGAATTGAAGACAGAGAGTAGAATGTTATGAGATAATAGGAAAATCAATGAAGCACATTTATCAAGCACCTATGATATGGTTTGGCTGTGTCCCCACCCAAATCTCATTTTGATTTCCCACGTGTTGTGGGAGGGACCCAGTGGGAGATAATCGAATCATGGGAGCAAGTCTTTCCCATGCTATTCTTGTGATAATGAATAAGTCTCATGAGATCTGATGGTTTTATAAAGAGGAGTTCCCCTGCACAACTCTCTCTCTTTGTCTGCTGCCATCCACGTAAGAAGTGACTTGCTCCTCTTTGCCTTCTGCCATAATTGTGAGGCCTCTCTAGCCATGTGGAACTGTAAGTCCATTAAACCTCTTTCTTTTGTAAATTGCCCAGTCTCAGGTATGCCTTTATCAGTAGCTCGTGAAAATGAACTAATACGGTAAATTGGTACCAGTACAGTGCAGTGCAGATGAAAAGATAACTGAAAATGTGGAAGCAACTTTGGAACTTGATAACAGACAGAGGTTGGAACAGTTTGGAGGACTCAGAAGACAGGAAAATGTGGAAAAGTTTAGAACTCCCTAGAGACTTGCTGAATAGCTTTGACCAAAATGCTGATAATGATATGCACAATGAAATCCAGGCTGAGGTGGTCTCAGGTGGAGATGAAAAACTTGTTGGGAACTGGAGGAAAGGTGACTCTTGTTATGTTTTAGCAAAAAGGCTGGCAGCATTTTGCCCCTGCCCCAGAGATTTATGGAATTTTGAACTTGAGAGAGATGATTTAGGGTATCTGGTGGAAGAAATTTCTAAGCAGCAAAGCATTCAAGATGTGATTTGGGAGCTGCTAAAGACATTCAGTTTTAAATGGAAAACAGAGCATAAAAGTTTGGAAAATGTGCAGCCTGACAACGTGATAGAAAAGAAAATCCCATTGTCTGAGGAGAAATTCAAGAGGGCTGCAGAAATATGCATAAGTTACTAAGAGCCAAATGTTAATTGCCAAGACAACAATGGGGAAAATGTCTCCAGGGTATGTCAGAGAACTTTCCCATTACAGGCCTGGAAGCCTAGGAGGAAAAAATGGTTTTGCGGGCCAGGCCCATGGTCCCTCTGCTGTGTGCAGTCTAGGGACTTGGTTCCCTGCATCCCAGTTTCTCTAGCTGTGACTAAAAGGTACCAAGGTACAGTTCAGGCTGTGGCTTCAGAGGGTGCAAGTCCCAAGCCATGGTGGCTCACATGTGGTGCTGAGTCTGCAGGTACACAGAAATCAAAAACTGAGGTTTGGGAATCTCCAGATTTCAGAAGATGTATGAAAATGCCTGGATGTCCAGGCAGAAATCTGCTGCAGGGGTGGGGCACTCATGGAGAACCTCTGCTAGGGCAGTGCAGAAGTGAAATGTGGGACGGGTACCCCCACACAGAGTCCCCACTGGGGTGCTGCCTAGTGAAGCTGTGAGAAGAGGGCCACCATCCTCCAGACCCCAGAATGGTAGATCCACCAAGAGTTTACACTGTGTGCCTGGAAAACCACAGACACTCAACACCAGCCTGTGAAAGTAGCCAGGAAGGGTGCTATACCCTGCAAAGCTAAAGGCGCAGAGATGCCCAAGGCCTTGGGAGCCCACCTCTTGCATCAGTGTGACCTGGATGTGAGACATGGAGTCAAAAGAGATCATGTTGTAGCCCCTCTGTTTTGGCCAATTTCTCCCATTTGGAACTGTATTTACCCAATGCCTGTACCCCTGTTGTATCTAGGAAGTAACTAACTTGCTTTTGATTTTACAGGCTCATAGGTGGAAGGGACTTGCCTTATCCCAGATGAGACTTTGGTCTTTGGACTTTTGAGTTAATGCTGAAATGAGTTAAGACTTTGGGGGACTGTTGGTAAGGCATGACTGATTTTGAAATGTGAGGACATGAGATTTGGGAAGGGCCAGAGGCAGAATAATATGATTTGGCTGTGTCCCCACCCAAATCTCATCTTGAATTCCCACATGTTGTGGGAGGGACCTAGCGGGAGGTAACTAAATCATGGGGGTAAGTCTTTCCTAGGCTGTTCTTGTGATAGTGAAAAAGTCTCACAAGATCTGATGGTTTTATAAAGAGCAGTTCCCGGCCGGGCGCGGTGGCTCATGCTTGTAATCCCAGCACTTTGGGAGGCCGAGGCGGGCGGATCACGAGGTCAGGAGATTGAGACCATCCTGGCTAACACGGTGAAACCCCGTCTCTACTAAAAATACAAAAAAATTAGCCGGGCGTGATGGCGGGCGCCTGTAGTCCCAGCTACTCGGGAGGCTGACGCAGGAGAATGGCGTGAACCCAGGAGGCGGAGCTTGCAGTGAGCCGAGATTGCGCCACTGCACTCCCACCTGGGCCACAGAGCGAGACTCCATCTCAAAAAAATAAAAATAAATAAATAAAATAAATAAATAAATAAATAAATAAATAAAGAGCAGTTCCCCTGCACAAGCTCTCTCTCTTTGCCTGCTGCCATCCAGGTAAGAGACATGACTTGCTCCTCCTTGCCCTCTGTCATAATTGTGAGGCCTCCCTAGCCAAATGGAACTGTAAGTCCATTAAACTTTTTTCTTTTGTAAATTGCCCAATCTCGGGTATGTCTTTATAAGCAGCATGAAAGTAGACTAATACAGCCTATTAAGTGCCAATGATGCCAGACACTTTTGGGAGATATGGATTCAACGATATAGTTCCTGTCCTCAAGGACCTTAGGAGGGTGAGGACAGGATCATTAGATTCAGAAAGCATTTATTGGGTACTTGTTATATGCCTACCACAGTGACAGGTGATGCGGAGGATGAAGTAATTAATAAAATAAGACTGACATCCTAAAGTGAAAGTTACGAACTATCAGTAACAATTTAGTAAAACAGTATAATAAAAGTCATCATGCAGTGAGAGCTAAATGGCATTGAATATAGAGACTTTTTTCAGGAACAACGTAAGTGGAAGCTAAGAAAGTTTCTCAGAAAGGAAGATGTAAAATATGGCATCGTCGAAGCTATTATTTCACCCTGTCTTGGAAATCTTCCCAGGATTGTCCTCCTGCAACTGTCTCTTCTATCTTTTCTCAGATCAAATTAGTTATTCTCTCCTATGAATCCTGGAGCACAGGTCGTGTCCCTGCTACAGCATTTACCAATATTGCATTATTGATGTTGGTCATTATGTCTGCCTCCTCCAGTAGAGTGTAAACTTGCAGCTATTCACACCACGACTAGCAGAAGCTTAGCACGTAGAATACCCCTTTTATGATAATGTGAAAAATTGAACCAAAAGTATTGAGTTGTTTCCATTTAAAATAAACAGATAAAGGAAATGTAGACTATACATACAATGGAATATTATTCAGTCTTAAAAAAAGAAGGAAATCCTGCCATATGCAACAACGTGAATGAACCTTGAGGATATTATGCTAAGCAAAATAAACAAGTAACAGCAAAACACAAACTGCATGATTCCACTTACATGAGGTACTTCAAGGAGTCAAAGTCATAGAAACAGAGAGTGGAATGGTGGTTTCCTGGGCATGGGGAAGGGAAAATGAGTAGTTGCTAATCAATGGGTATAAAGTTTCCATTATGCAAGATAAATAAGTTCTAGAGATCTATGCTACAACAACTTGCCTACAGTTAAAAATACTGTATTATACACTTAAAATCTGATCAGAGGGTAGATCTCATGGTAAGTCTTCTTACCATAATAAAAAAGAAAAGAAACATAATCCAATATATTTTGTGAATTCATTTCAATTCTTATTAAGGTAAAAAAACCTATTAAATGCCATTTGAGAAAATCAGAGAAATATCTATACATACTATATATTAGATGATACAAAATAATGTTAATTTAGATATATATCTGTAACACATTTAGATATAAATATGTAACACATTTTCATATTTTTTAAAAAGAAGTAAAATTCACAAAGAATATTGCGCTCACCCTAACAAGAAAACAAGTTAGATACTCTACAAAATCCTTGTTATTTTTGACTATAAGAAAGTTGAGGTTGCAAAAGTCTTTAATGAATTATAATCCATAAGGTGACAAGACTTTCCTAGGAGATATGACACCACAGGTGATTTCAAGTTTGACAGAGAAATGGTAAAAGGAGAAAGCTGCCATAAATGCAGGTAACAAGAAAATAGCTGACATCTTCACACACTGTAAAAAGAAGAGTGTGAAGTGTCATGAAAGCTGAGAGGCCCTGGGAGCTCCAGGCAGAAGGACAGTCTATGTCAGCCTGCAAAGTCTCTTCCATGAACCTTCACCAAGTGCTAACAAAAGAAGTTGAGAACAAGAAAGGAAAAAAGATTTTAAGACAGAAACCCTCTGGGTCAGGGGAAGATACACAAGAGAAATGCTCCTACACTCTCAGTCTTATCTAAGGGTGAAGTGTGGCCATCTATGACTGCGGGAGGGGAGGAGCATTGGGAAGGTGCCCTCTAGGGCCCACCATGCCAGGCCTGCTGTGGTAGACAGAGCAGAAAAATGAAGAGAAAGCCACCAGCCACTCTCCAGTAAGTAAAGAACAACTGTCTGCCTGGTGAGGCCAAGGAGGTTGAGAAACGCCATCCTGAGAATCAGGTGTTCTGGAGGGCCTTCTGAAGCCTGAAGATGTGACAGGAAAACTGAGACAAACTCTTCAGATCCCCAGCTCTGGTAAAGGGCCTGCTTTGATCCTTCCCTCAAATCTGAAATTTACAGTGAACCACGTATAACAAGCAACAGTGTAGCCCAGATCCAGATTGGATGGACTCAACCCCACTAGTGGACTGACAGAAGAAAAGGCATGTGATTTTCTGAGTGCACGTATTATTCACATCAGTCATCACTGTTCTGCTGCCTGGCATTTGTTCAAAAAAAGCAAAGGAAAAAAATTAACAAACACAAAGCAAGAAAATATCACCAGAAAAGTAAAGATTAATAATAGAGTCTAGAGATAGTCCAGAGGTTGAAATGTACAGACGAGGATCCTAAAATAACTATAAAAATATGTTAAAGAATCTATAATGTTGAATAATGTATGGTAAAAATGGAAAATTTCAGAAAATCCTTTGAGACTATTTATTAGGTTGGTGCAAAAGTAATTGCTGTTTTTGCCATTGAAAAGGGAAATGCTAAAAATGAAAAATTCCACATTAGATGGTTTCTACTAATGATAAGCTCCTTGATACATTTATCATTAGTAGAAAGTATCAGTAAACTTGAAGACAGACCAATAAAAATTATACAAACTGTATACAAAGAAAAAAAGAATTTAAAAAATAGAACAGAGTATCTGAGATCTGTGAAGCAATGTCAAATCACCTTACTTATATAATTGGTGTCCCAGAAGAAGAAGAAGAAGAAGAAAACAGAAAAAGACATTTGAAAAGATAATAAGCAAGAATGTTCAAAATTAATGACAGGTATTAATTCATAGATCCAGGAAACTTAGAGAACCATAAACAGGATAATTACAAAGAAAACATACCCAGGCACATCATAGTGAAACTACTACAAAACAAAAATAAAGATAAATTATTGACAGCAGCCAGAGAAAAGCATATTACATCTAGGGGAGCAATGATAAAAATGGCTTCTCATCAGAAACAATGAAAGCCAGAAGACAATGGGATCACTTCTTTCAAGTGCTTTAAGAAAAACAAAGCAAACAATAACTGCAACTCCAAAATCCCCCAAACCTGTGGATCTAGAACTCTATGTAAGTATCCTTTAAAAATGAAAGTTAGATAGCAATATATTTAGACAGATAAAAGCTCAAAGAATTTGTTTCTAATAGACTTGAACTAAAAGAAACATTAAAATAAGTTTTTTAGACTTGGATAAAATGACACCAGAGAGACCTTGTTATGTGAGAAGGAATGAAGAACACCAGAACAAGTAAATACATATGCAAGTAAATATGAAGGCCTTATTAAAATCACATGCACATGCACACACACACACACACACACACACACTCGCTCTCTCTCTCTCTTAAATGATAATTGACAATTTAAAATAAAAAAACACATTTCATTGAGAAGCTTATGGCATATATAGAAGCAAAATACATAACAAAAGCACAAAGTGAAAAGGTGTTAATTTGCAGGTATACTGTGATAAGTTCTTAATTTCTTTACTATGTAAAGAATAGATTTTGAAGGCAGATCACAATCGTCTATATTATAATCTCTAAAGCAAGCAAAAAGTGACACAACTAAAAAGTCAACAGAAAAGACAAAATACAGTACCAAAATAGAGTATCCCAAACAGTTTGATTTATCAGAAAAACATGAAGAAAAAAAGAAGGCAAATATGACAAATAGACATAACACCAAGATAGACTCAAATATAAACATTGATTAATGCAATACAATAATTAATTGTATTGACTCAAATACTAAGCTCAAATACAAACATTAATTAAACATATATGTAAACATTAATTAAATGTAAATGGACTAAGTATTCAATTAAAAGGAAGTTTTTTTTTTTTTGAGACAGGGTCTCACTCTAGCATCCAGACTGAACTGCAGTGGTGTGATCTCAGATCACTGCAGCCTCCACCTCCTGGCCTCGAGCAATCCTCCTGCCTCAGCCTCCTGAGTAGCTGGGACTACAGGTGCATGCCACCATGCCTAATTAATTTTTGTATTTTTTGTAGAGATGAGGTCTCGCTTTGTTGCCCAGACTGGCCTTGAACTCCTGAGCTCAAGCAATCTGCCAGCCTCAGCCTCCCAAAGGTATGGTGGTATGAGCCACTGTGCTCAGCCTAAAAGGCAGATATTATCAGCCTGGATGAAAAAGCTAGGACCAGCTATATGTTGTTTACAAGAAACACACTATATTGATAAAGACATAAACGGATGAAAGCAAAAGAATGGGAAAATATATACCATGTTAAACACTAACCATAAAAAAGCTGGTATAATCAAAATATAAAATGCTTAGGGGTATATTTGACAAAAGATGGGCAGCACTTTTATATTAAAAACTGTAAACTATTAATGAGTAAAATTAAATGATATATAAATAAAAGGAAAGATGTGCTATATTCACAGATAGGAAAAATCAATATTACACACATGGCAATTCTCCCCTAATTGTTCCATAGATTTGATGCAATTATAATCAATATCCCAGTAGAATTTTTTATTGTAGAAACTAAGGACTAATTAGAAAATTTACTTAGAAAAGTAAAGGAGTTAGAATAGCCAAAACAGTCTTCCAAAAGAGTTAAAAGACTTACTCTTTCTTGACTCTAAGACCTATTGTTTGTTATATTTGGTATTAATTGGTGAGAAGGTAGATCAATAGAGTAATCAGAGAAAACAGAGAGTCCTGAAGTAGCCCATATCACACATATTACAATTAGCAAATTTACAAAATGGACATTAAAGCAATCCACCTGTGCTACTACAATATTATGGACTATGAAAAAATAATAAACCTAATACCTTTCTCACAACATATGCAAAAATTAGTTGAAGATCAGTCACTGATCTAAATGTAAAGCTTAAAACAATACAGCTTTCAGAAGAAAACAAAGCAAAATATCTTTGTGACCTTGGTATAGGTCATAATTTCTTAGAATACAGAAAGTGCTTAGCATAAAATTTAAAAATTATAAACTGTACTTCATCAAAATTTGAAACTTCCATTCATGAAAAGATATCAATAAGAAAATAAGTAGGTAAGCCTACTAGGTAAAAATATTTGCAAGATATAGCTTACAAAACACATGTATACAAAGTACAATAAAGAATTCCTACAATTTACCAATACAAAGACGAACAACCTAATTAAAACTAGGCAAAAGACATGACAAGATATTTTCTTAAATAGATAAGCAACTATACAATAAGCACATGAAAAAGAGCTCAACACTGTCAGTTATTATGGAAATGCAAATTAAAAACACCATGGGATGCTACCCCACCACTGCTAGAACAGCTAACAGGAAAATGACTGACAATACCAAATGTTGGAGAAGATGTGGAACACTTGGAGTTGCTTAGTTATTGGCAGGAATGTAAAATAGCACATCTCATTTGGAAAGCTGTTTCACAGTTTCTTTTTTTTTTGTATGTATAAGCATGTTTATTATTATTTTAATTTTTATTTTAGATCCAGTGGGTACATATGCTATGTATAAGTTTTTTACAAGGGTATATTGTGTTGCTTTGGTTTCTTGAAAAGTTACATAGAACTACTCTATCACCGAGGAATTCCACTCCTAGGTATTTACCCAAGGAATATAATGCCCACAAATATTCTACAAGAATGTTTATAGCACAATTACTAATTATAGCCCCAAACGGGAAATAGCCCATATGATCATCAACAGGAAAATGAAAACGAATTGTCATACAACAGAAGAGTATTCAATAACAAAAAGGAAATAAACTATTGATACATGTAATGACATGGCTGGATGTCAAAAACATTATATTGAGTGAAAAACATACAAAAAAGCATATTCTGTATGATTCTATTTATATGAACTTAAAAAACTTATAGATTAGCTAAATTAGACTTTTACAATGTAAGTCAGACCTGATCAGTAGCTGTTTTTGGGGTCTGGTAGGTAGACTGCCTGGGAAGGGGCTTGATGGAACTTTCTGGAGTGACATGAATATCCTGTGTCTTGATAGAGTGTGGCATTTGTCAAAACCAACTAAAATGTGAACTTAAGATCAGTGCATCTTAGTGCATGTAAATTATGTCCCAATGAAAATACAATTTAAAAAGTGGAGTTACCAGGAAAAGAAGAGAAATAATATATTCTGTGATGACGGAATAATGTCAGCATTAGGCAGAAGAAAAGAATTGGATCTTCCAAAAGAATCCTTTTTTAAAAACAAAAAAAATTTACAACTTTGTTGAGATTTAATTCACGTGCCATACGATTTGCCCATTTAAAGTGCATAATTAAACAGTTTAAAATATATTCTTAGTGTTGTGCAACCATCATTACAATCAGTTTTAGAACATTTTCATTAACACCCCAAAAAGACGTTGTGCCCATTAGCAGCCACTCCTCATTTCTCTCCAACCCTCTCCCCACCTCCGGGCCTAGACAATTAATCTTTCTGTCTCGACAAATTTGCCTATTCTAGACATTTCATATAGATGAAATCAACAGTGTGTGGTCTTTGTAACTAGCTTCTTTCACTTAGCACAATGATTTCAAGGTTCATCCATGTCATATCACCTATCAGTACTTCATTTTTTTAATTGATCAATAATATTGCATTGAATTGATATAACATTTCATTTGCCCATTCGTCAGCTGATGGGCATTTGGGTTGTTCCCACTTTTCAGCTATTATAAATAATGCTGCTATGAACATTAATGTACAAATTCTTGTGTGGACATATATTTTCACTTTTCTTGCATATACATCTAGGAGTGGAATAGCTGGATCATATGGTAGCTTTATGTTTAAACTTTTGAAGAATTTCCAGACTGTTTTCCAAAGCAGATGTACTATTTTACATTCCTACCAGTGGTGTATGATAATCCCATTTTTTTCACATCCTCACTAACACCTTATTATCTCTCTTTTTGATTAGAACAGTCCTAGTGGGTGTGAAATTCAATCTCACTGTCATTTTGATTTGCATTTCCTTCATGACTAATGATAGTGAACATCTTTTCATGTGCTTATTGGCCATTTGTTTATTTTCTTTGGAGAAATGTCCACTCAGATCCCAAAGAAATCTTTGATAGATCAAGTTATTTGCTGATTAAAATAAATAGTTTACTTGAAGTGAGAATGCAGAGATTTGAATCTACCTGAACCTCTACCTAACTTGGAGATCTTCCACTCCAAACTTTGGATCTTGGAGCTCAAAAAGTTGCATGGGTTAGCTTCCCTGTTGTAAACACTAACTATGTATCCTCACCTGGATGCATGAATTAAAGGTGGTTCACAAAGCAGCTTATCATCAGAAGCACCTGGAAATGTGGGAAAAATGGATTCTTGGGAATAAACAACTGAATCTGATTTTTTAGGTGAGTCTCAGGTAACCATATAAAAAGAAGGTTCACCAGATGTTTCTAATGATCATTTCAGCCTTGGAATTACTGAAACTACTTCATTGAAAGGTTAATGCCTACTGCCCAAGTTGGGTGCCATAATGGTGGGTCTGGTTGCACAATCTTGAGTAGAACTTCAGACATACTTCTTCCTGTAAACTGAAGCCATCACTCGTGAAAGATTAGTTTGCTACATTAATCTTTCATTTCTCCCTGTCTCCCAGACTTCAAAGAGGACATGGAGACATGGGAAGGAAGTAGAGAGGGAAGAAAAAGAAGTAGAGGGATGAAAAACAACAACAAAGATGTTAAGTGTTTGTAGAGAAATGTGAATACAAAGTATATAGAATGCACTGTAAAGGTCAGATGAGAATTTAAATCAGATCTATGCAACAGGAATACCTAAGGACAGATGTGTCTAATTTTGTATTGTTTTGACCCAGCTTAATTATATCTGTCTGACCCAGTTCAATTATATTCTACCACTAACTTCAAAAAGAATATTTAACACTCAAAGTAGAGGTGCCAAATTCATTAAAGTTGTTACAACATGCTGTTCAGCCTTCCTCCTTCCCACCATCTCTTCCTCCTTAACTCTTTACAATCCAGCCTCTATATTCAAAGCAACAAATTCGGAATCTGCTCCCCTAGGGGCCACTAGTGACTGGACAGCTCACTGCCTAATTCATCAGTCCCTTTTCAAGCTTCATTCTTCTTGACAGCTCTGCAGCACTGAATCCATTTACACTCCCTCCTTCTTGATCACATGTGCTCTTGTGACTGCCTGGATAGAGCCCGCTTCACTCTGTTCCCTCATGGGATCAGCATCTGTTACTGAGGTTCATTCATGGGTTAAGTGCTGAGTCACAAAACTGAGGGGGCCCAGACCCTGCCTCCAGGAATCTCAGTTTAGTAAGATGTCCTCCTTCTTCTACAGTCTGACCTCTCTCATGGATCCTTGGACTGCTCAAGCCCCCTTTAAACATAAGCATGCCTAATGTTCCCATCTGCTCAGCTCTCTGGTTTTCTCTCAGGGATGTCTGCTATTCTCTTTGGAGGTAAGCCCCAGTGCTGGACATCTAGCCCTAAGCTCCCAGGCTTGGCAGCCTTACTTTGCATGGTCTAACCCAAGCCAGCCTTCCATTTCATCCGCCGTTTCTCTCCAGCAAGCATTTGGTGTTTCATCTAAATCGGACCTCTTGCTGTTCTTCAAACATGCCCTTCCTATTCCAGTTTCCATGCCTTTAATCATACTGTTTCCATCTGCTAAAAAACTCTCCCTATCTGTGCCTGTAGAAAAACCACTCATTCTTTAAGGCCCATTCCAAATGCCACCTCTTGCAAGAAGACTTCTCCAATTCCTTCCATGGCCTTCTGTTTCCCAAAACTAGATGTATGCTCTTTTTCCTTCCTTACTGTCATGCCACACTGTGCTCTTGTAAGTCCTTTATTTATTTCATCTTAAACTGAGTGACTATTGTCCTTCACTCTAGCCTGAGACTTCATTGGGCAATGACTGCTCTTGTTTACTTCTGTGTCCCTAACACTGAGTGGCTTACAAGTACACTCACAACCATATTCAACATGCCCTTAGTGGACTGAATTGAAATCCAGAGACTCAAGGAGAAATCACGATAGCAGCCCACCTTCCCTACCCCTCCAGCCCATCATCATTTCTTGAAAATCATCTTTAGGAAATAGGATTTTCAGGATAAAAAAATTTTTTTTCCATGGAATGTCTTAGTTTGCAGACAACTAAGATGTCCCTCTCTGGTCAGGGACAGAACGATTGCTGTAGCTCTTCTAGGAAGCTACTGGTGGTGAGCACTTAGGGGAAGTAAAACCAGGGGAGGAGGAGAGCCACAGAGATCTTTGTTCCCATCTTGATTTCCTAGTCATTTCCTGTGTGACTTCACCCTAGTTATTTATCTTCTCAAAATTTCAGTGGAATAAAGTTAGTCTTATCCATAGGACTGATGAGAAAATAAGCAGGATTTTATATATGTTTACAAATTTATAGTTCTATATCTTCCTTAAATACTATAGCTCTAGCCCCAGTAATAAGCTACCAGATATGGGAATCCAGTCCACACTTCTTCCCCTTGAGGAAATTAAATTGACAAATGGAGTTTTAGTACTATAAACTATCATCAAAATTTGAGACTTCTAAATGCTCTGTTTAGCTACCATGACCTTTCTTTACATAAAACATTAAGAAAATATTCAAAGTACCAGACTGGGCAAAGCAGAGTACTCTGGTAGTAGTGGGTGGGGGCGCACAGAAGCACCTCTCAACGTCCCCCTATGTGCTATGGTGGGGGGATGGAATTTTCTAACATAGACTCAGAAATCTGATGCTCAGGAGAATACCAGTTGAAAACCAGTTTTAAATCCCTGCAAATTCTACTTGGATCAATAATACTGCATTTATTTTAAATCCCTGCAAATTCTACTTGGATCACTTTAAAGGCTTTTGAGATTAGACTTGACCAAGAACTCAACACTGGTCTTTCTGGAAGCATGGAAATCTGAGACTCCAAGAACAGCTAAACAGGCAAGTGAGGCCACTGAATTCTGGGAGGTACATATGAGCATGCACAGAAGCATACGGAATTTAGGGTTTCCAAAACAAACAAGCACGTTAGTCTCCTACTCCCAGGCCTTTATACACCCCCACAGTTGTGAATAAATGGGACACGTTACCACTATTTTGGCCTTTGTACACATTGAATGCAACAATGTAAAATGCATCTGATAAGAAATGGATGGGAACAATTAAACATGTAAATAGTAAAAGAAGGGTGGCAAGATATAGATAATTTGTTTTGCACATTTAAAAAAATTAATAAACCATTCTTTGAACAACATATATGTGTGTGTGTGGTTTTTTTTAGAGGAATATCAAAAGTTAAACCAGTAAAAAGGCCCATTTTATATATCAACTCGCTCTGCCTCTAGCTAAACCCCTTACCAAACCAAACCAAGCCAAACAATAACAACAACATAGCACGCTGATTTAAATCAGAAGCAAGGCATCTTTCATTGACTATAAACTAGATTAAATGTATTTTCAGAACATACAAGCTTTGGGGACACTTTTCCTTTTCAAGTAGCTATTTAAAACCTGCCAAAGACACCAAAAAAAAAAAAAATACACCTACGGAGCTTACACTTTTGGTTTAGTGCACCTTAGAAGGGTATTATAGCATTTCCTTAGCAAACTTCTTTTAGAAGGTTTAATCTATATGCAAGGAAGTTCCAATTATTATTTTTAATGGCGATAAAATATTTGAAAAATTAAAGTTTAAAGTACATTAGAGTGTGCAGCAGATGGTGATTAGTGGGAAAAAAGACAGTTAACTGTGCTTGCTATTGTGAAATTGGAATTTTGAAAAGGGGTGAACATGAGAGTTAAGGAAGAAACATGAGCTTAGTTTGAGCAAACATAAATGTTCCTCATTCATATACTCATTCTCATTTGTCAATATATTCAATCAAAAAATAAGAAAAAATCCCTGTCTTTTTTCAGTCATGATTCTTAAGCCATTTCACCTGAAGAAAACGTAGTTTTTGATAAGAGAAACATAACCTTTTGGGTAAAAGGGATATATGTCAAAATCCTGAAGTGGTTTGTATAATCAAATAATACATAAAGAATAAAGGAAATGACTAAAAATATTCTGTAAGCCTTATTTCTGGTATTGATCACAATTTTCTTTCACATTTAGCAATATTTGTTTTATATGAATCTTTGTAAATTACTGTCCTTAGTACTTTCTTTGGAATGTGATACAGTAATTCATAAACATTTTTAGGAAAAATACATGATGGTTTTCTTCACATCTTTTTTCCTTTGTATGTGCTCAATAAATGTGGGCTTACGACCTTCAAAAGGAAAGCAAAGACTAAAATGATCCTCTATTTATGCTAGGGCTACAAAAGTTGATCACTTCTAAAATCAAAGAAAACCATGGGTACATTAAACACATTTTCCATTGGATTTCTTAAAAATTAGGGAAAAAGGAAGGAAAATGACATTAGAAATGATTTCAGAAAAAAAAATGCATAGTGACTGATATGATTTGGCTGTGTCCCCACTCAAATCTCATCTTGAATTGTAGCTTCCATAATTCCCACTTGTTGTGGGAGGGACCAGATGGGAGGTAACTGAATCATGGGGACGGGTCTTCCCCATACTGTTCTCATGACAGTGAATAGGAGTTTCACGAGATCTGATGGTTTTATAAAGGGGAGTTCCCCTACACAAGCTCTCTCTTGCCTGCCACCATGTAAGACGTCCCTTACTGTTCCACTATGATTGTGAGGCCTCCTGAGCCATGTGGAACCGTGAGTCAAACCTCTTTCCTTTATAAATTACTCAGTCTCATGTATGTCTTTATTAGCAGCATGAGAACAGACTAATACAGTGACCTTTGGATTTGATTCAACTATGATATAAATATTTATGTTATAACTTCCTTATCAACAATCTATAAGGAATGTAAAAAAGTTTCCATTATTATAATTTTTGGAACTTACTTTCAAAATCCAGGAAAAAGTGTGGATAGTTTTCAATTTCCCTGGTAAGGACTTTGAGCAGGTTTCCCATCCCAGCAAACCTAGGAAAGGCAACACAAAACCAAATACCATTAGCAACATAAAAAAAATAGACTTGCGTGAATATCCCTGGGCCCCCCATAGCTACCTTTGAAGACCAGAAAGAGAGCATCTCCAACCCAGGGGTTGAGCAATAATGTAGCAACTCATTTCTAAATTGGTGACAGATAAATATCTCTGAGGTGCTGGGTCTCTAAAACTTGGGGACATGTGGCCTAAGCCATAAAAATTATGACAATGATAGAAGTGTTACAATCTCTCTCGAGAGAATACACCTGCAGTCCATATCTCGTTCACCATATAAAAAAAAAAAAACATAAAGAACAGCCTATGAAAAGAATCAGGTATTTTCATTATAGGAGACAAAGTTTAGGAATGTTCTCCGAAGTGCTTCCCTTCCACTTTTCCTAATCCCCTGGATCCTTACAGCAAATGTTTCGGCTTTGCTTTGTTTCCTTTAGATAGATGTGGAACATGTCACATCAGTGGAAAGACAACAAAGACGGCATTTTAAAAATACCTGTCCAAAAAAGTAAGTTCCTGAAAGCTCACGAGGAATAGAGTTTAGAAAACATATATTTACACTGCCAGGAACTCCTCTTAACATGTATAAGAGGCCAGATTTCTCAGAGGAGTGGCTCCCAGGCAAGTTAGAGGATCTTGTGATCTGACATTCCAATGGTAATGAGATTGGATACTTCTGGAAGCTTAACAATGAAAAGGCATAATGCCCAAAAAGTTACTCTCAGTAAAACTGCAGCCTAAGACATCTGCAAAGGTGAGTCAAATCAACAGAAAATTACAAACCTCTTACATATCAGCAGTCTCAACCTAATAAAAAGAATAGCTAAAATGTAGGGCTTTTTTTAATAAACAGAAAAATTTCTACTGCTCTCAGCTCTAGACATTAAACTATCTTTTTAGGGAAGTCATCAATCCACTCATTCATTCAACACATATTTACGGAGGAGCGATTAGATGCTGGGCACTGTGTTCTTGGAAAGACATTCCTCTAACTCTGCTGTAAGTGAACTCTTGTGCCTCAGATATTTCAGTTTGTGAAGGATCAGTTTGAAAAATTACTGAACTGGTGCAAGGAAACTGCTGGGCTTCAATTTTCTATGGCTATAGTTTCCAACAATATTTATGTTGATACAAGGAATTTTAAAAAACACACCATTCTAAGCAAGATGTGGCGAGAGAAGAATGCACTGAAAGGATGACTCTGCGCATGAGAATATGTAGCAAGTGGTGGGATCTGGTCTCCATAATCCTCCGCTGGGAAAACACACATTTGCAGACATACTCCCCGATATAAATCACTAACATGAAATCAGAAGACAGACTTTTTAAGTAGTCTATCTTTGTTAGATGGCCGGTGTCTAATTCCAGCTGTTTTCTACTACCTCTGTTATCCAGGGCAAGAGATTTCATCTCCATAAGCCTCAGTTTCCTCATCTGTAAAATTAACTTTTGAAAAGGATCTATTTCATCAAGTTGTGAGAATTAATCAGATAAAAGTATAAAATGCTTAGCACAGCACTTACAGGAAGTGCTCAAGAAAAATTACGTGCTTTTACTATTGATGATGATAGTCACCATCATCATCATCATCATGATTATGCTAACAGCCTTCAAATGCTTGTTTAGGATTAGCCTATGAAAGATGGATTATAATAGGCCGTATGCTGTGCTAGGAAAGAGAAGACTAACAGAGAAATGATGAGAAAAAATTTCTAAACATTATAGTTATCTGAATATTAAGTCACTTGCCTAGTGAAATAGTGAGTTTTCTCTCATTGGCGATATTTAAGTAGAAAAATGCTATAACAGCCCTCAACAGCGTTGGAAAAATGAATTATGTGTGGGGCAGAAGGCTGGGCTAGACGCATCCTAGACATCTCTCACCTTGAGGTGTAGGAATATATTTGGGCATGCATGCACACACACACACACACACACACACACAGGAAAGCAAACACCATATTTCTCTCTTCTCAAAGATTATTCTTTGTCTTTTCTGTCATTCTTCCATTCCTTCCCTGCCTTTATGCCCATTTCCTTTTAAGATATTTTTGAGCAAAATCCTGTGTGCGGTAGGTTCTGCCAAATTAAAGGTTGGGCTGGTAGAGTCCATCCCTGCCACTGGGCAGCATTCACTATTCACTAACCTCCTGGGTCTCTAGGAAATGATCTGTCTCCAGATTAAGGAACAATTTCAGATTAGGTCTGGAGTCACTTCTTGTAGGAAGATGATTTTACTGTTTGTAGGAGTACTGACTTTCATACAAAGTGCTTTGATGGAAGCTAAATATTCTTAGGTGTCTTAGTTTTGTGCTATGAATGTATCATAAGAGACTTGCATGGATTGGGCTTCCTCCTAAAATTCTGTCCTGTATGTGATTTTACTGTCAGAGTACCTAAGTAGAAGATATGCCAAGCCTTTGAAACTCATAACAGATAGAAACAAACACAAGTAAAAGTATGTCCAAATATTGGCTGTGGAATTCTGTCTCTTCAAAAGGTTATCTCAGTGGATTGGCTGATATCATCAGATATTTTTGAACATCATTCTAACATCAACCAAGGTTAATTACTTGAAACTCTCAGGATTCCAGAAGTGTCACCTCTCAAGCAAGGACCTCTAGAACAATGACTGTGGACACTGTGTAGAAAGTCTAGTCCCATGGAACCTAGAAAACAAGTGTTTCATCTCATTATGGCCAAATGATTTGATGCTTACTGCCCCACTCCAAGGTTGATAAGAATTCATGGGAGTGTCTTCTGGTTTAGGGGGATCTGCAAAGTGAATTGGTCCATCATCACACAGATGGTCACCTAGTAGACTCCACAGTTATTTTTAATTGGACCCAGAGTTTCACTTGGAAAGGCCTCTCATCCATATTCTGCATGACAGATTACTCTCCAATTTTTTCAAGCAGCTCATCAGTGAATACAAAATATACGTTGCTATTACCATAGTACTCATGAAATAGCTTAATTAATTCATATAGAGCTTATTTTTTTATTATTTTATCTCATTCAATAAAATAACTTTGGTTATTATGCACTATTAGAGAATGCAAATAAATAATGGAAGTAGGGAGAGTAGGAGAGTAAAAGTGAAGTAGTAAGATAAAGCTAGAGGCAAGAAATAGATGAATTATAAGCCATCCCATCCAGAACATTTGTTGGAGATGGCTTATCGTCTGCTCCTGGATAGCCAAAGCAAAGAAGTGTCCCCTTCAATATTTGGTGTTCAGAAAATACAAACAGGTTATACTAGAGAAGTACAGTTTTTTTAACTGAAAAAAGGAAAAAGAGACAAGACAATGAGAAATCTCCTCTGGTTTCTAAAAGAAGAGGCTGTTTCACAGAGGAAGTCATATTTGAGGATGAGCTGAGTCTCAGAGCTCCCATGGGCAGAGCTGTGGTTACACAGCCAAATGGGTGGCAGAGTAGCTTGGTTAGGGTGTACTCTGAAGGGCTGGGAACTCCGGTTTCTACATTCTATTTGGTGTTTCCATGGATACCCTCTTAATGTGACCTGCTGCTGGGTCTATCCCAAGGGACGTCAGTTTACCATTTTTCCCTATGGTGTGAGAGCTTATATCAGAGGGAATACGGCAATCCAGCAGGCACTCTGAGCTCCCTAGGAGGACTTTAATCTGAGTATCTGAGTTTATTACTTAAATATAGTATGTTGTGTATACTGTAAAGTTTAGGCTTACTTTAGACACACACACATATACACACATGTACATGCACACACTCACACACACACAATGACTCCCTTGGCATCTTCAGAAATCATTTCTAAGTTGAAGTCCTACTTATGTAGGACATAATGTAGCTACACTGGTGCACATAGAAGTTTTCAGATCTAAATTCATTCCTGTGGGGAGGGTCTGGTAGAGGTAGAACAAGGACAGAGAGTACAGGTTGAGTATTCCAATTTCAAAAACCTGAAATCTGAAACGCTCCAAAATCTAAAACTTTTTGAGCACTGACATGACACTCAAAGGAAATACTCACTGGACTCCAGATTTTTGTATCTGGAAGGTTCAACCAAGAGGTATGATATAAATATTCCAAAATTTAAAAATATCTGAAATTCAAAACACTTCTGACCCCAAGCATTTTGGATAAAGGATACTCAAACTGGTATAAGGTCTTGGCTACCAGAGGAAGAGACGGGAGAGGATATACCAGTTGTGTAAGCACTCATGAAGGGATGGGGTCCTGAAAATCAACATCCTTTATTTGGATGTTTCCTGCTTTGGAGAGTGGCATTGGAAGGTGGTCCTCCTTTCATCCATGTCCTCTCTGGGAGGCCTTTTACTCTTAGAGGCGCAAGTCTTCCCTGCCTAGATTTTCCAGGACTCTGCCCCTTCTCTGCTGAAGTGAAGGTGTCTGGGCATCTGGGTCACTGGTCCTTGGCATTGGCTGGGTCTATTTTCCCATGCATCGTAAGCTGGGACTAACTTGCAGGGATTAAGACACAGTCTTGAGAATCTGAAGCAGAGTAGGCCAAAGTAACAATATGATGTGTTGACTCAGCTCATTCTCAAATATGACTTCTACTGTGAAACAGACTCTTCTCTTAGAAAACAGAGGTTTCTCTTTGTCTTGACTCTCTCTTAGCTATGACTTTTTCCTTGTTTTTCAATCAAAAAAAAAGAAAAAAACAAAAAGCTGTACTTCTCTAGTTTAACCTGTTTGTATTTTCTGAACACCAAATCTTACCCAGAAAGGTGTGTACTGTAAGTAATACATGAATAGGATCATAGAAAAGAGTGCTTGAAAGAGCCTCAAGAATATAAAGCACCATCTAACTGCCTGTTACTCCAGAGCAAATCATTGTAGCTGTGAGCCTTGGGTTCTTCATTTGCACAACAGTACGATAATAGTATCTCCTGCATGGAACTCTTGTCAGGACTAAATGAACTGAGTGTGAAAGCACCATGTATACTGTAAAGGGCTGGGCAAATATTACCTATAATTGTTCAATATTACAACTCCTCTTATAGTGTAAGATATTCAGGGAATCCAATAAATGGATTAATGTCCCCAGCATCATATGATTCCATATGATTTCCATTTTTCTTTATTTTTCAAGATTGGTGTCCTAAGATTCATGGTCCTTTATGTATATCTTTTCCACATTAAACTATAACCAGGTAAATGCTTATAGGCATTAATAGCTGAAAGAGACTTTTCTACATGCAAGTCATGGTATTTTAAATACATTTTCTTGTTTCATATTCAAAATATACATGGGGCAGATATATATTATTAGAGATTGGAAAACTAAGAATTATTAAAATTCAGTGTAGAAGCTGATTAAAAAATATAAATTATTATGGAAGACAACTAAATTTTCAAAAGAACAATTTTTATGTAAGTTTGTGATAGAGGCCTCAGGTAATTCTACAAAAATTAAAACCCATTTTCAATGCAAAATTCCCGAACATAAACAAATGCTTTTAAAAATATGGATGGTGTGGTTACTCTTTTAGTAATACTTGGATTATCATCAAAGATTTAACTTTATTTTTTTGTGTGTGTGTGTTTTTTTTTGTGTGTGTGTGTTTTTTTTTTTTTTTTTTTTATTATACTCTAAGTTTTAGGGTACATGTGCACATTGTGCAGGTTAGTTACATATGTATACATGTGCCATGCTGGTGCGCTGCACCCACTAATGTGTCATCTAGCATTAGGTATATCTCCCAATGCTATCCCTCCCCCCGACCCCCGACCCCACCACAGTCCCCAGAGTGTGATATTCCCCTTCCTGTGTCCATGTGATCTCATTGTTCAATTCCCACCTATGAGTGAGAATATGCGGTGTTTGGTTTTTTGTTCTTGCGATAGTTTACTGAGAATGATGGTTTCCAATTTCATCCATGTCCCTACAAAGGATATGAACTCATCATTTTTTATGGCTGCATAGTATTCCATGGTGTATATGTGCCACATTTTCTTAATCCAGTCTATCATTGTTGGACATTTGGGTTGGTTCCAAGTCTTTGCTATTGTGAATAGTGCCGCAATAAACATACGTGTGCATGTGTCTTTATAGCAGCATGATTTATAGTCCTTTGGGTATATACCCAGTAATGGGATGGCTGGGTCAAATGGTATTTCTAGTTCTAGATCCCTGAGGAATCGCCACACTGACTTCCACAATGGTTGAACTAGTTTACAGTCCCACCAACAGTGTAAAAGTGTTCCTATTTCTCCACATCCTCTCCAGCACCTGTTGTTTCCTGACTTTTTAATGATTGCCATTCTAACTGGTGTGAGATGATATCTCATAGTGGTTTTGATTTGCATTTCTCTGATGGCCAGTGATGATGAGCATTTCTTCATGTGTTTTTTGGCTGCATAAATGTCTTCTTTTGAGAAGTGTCTGTTCATGTCCTTCACCCACTTTTTGATGGGGTTGTTTGTTTTTTTCTTGTAAATTTGTTTGAGTTCATTGTAGATTCTGGATATTAGCCCTTTGTCAGATGAGTAGGTTGCGAAAATTTTCTCCCATGTTGTAGGTTGCCTGTTCACTCTGATGGTAGTTTCTTTTGCTGTGCAGAAGCTCTTTAGTTTAATTAGATCCCATTTGTCAATTTTGGCTTTTGTTGCCATTGCTTTTGGTGTTTTGGACATGAAGTCCTTGCCCACGCCTATGTCCTGAATGGTAATGCCTAGGTTTTCTTCTAGGGTTTTTATGGTTTTAGGTTTAACGTTTAAATCTTTAATCCATCTTGAATTGATTTTTGTATAAGGTGTAAGGAAGGGATCCAGTTTCAGCTTTCTACATATGGCTAGCCAGTTTTCCCAGCACCATTTATTAAATAGGGAATCCTTTCCCCATTGCTTGTTTTTCTCAGGTTTGTCAAAGATCAGATAGTTGTAGATATGCGGCATTATTTCTGAGGGCTCTGTTCTGTTCCATTGATCTATATCTCTGTTTTGGTACCAGTACCATGCTGTTTTGGTTACTGTAGCCTTGTAGTATAGTTTGAAGTCAGGTAGTGTGATGCCTCCAGCTTTGTTCTTTTGGCTTAGGATTGACTTGGCGATGCGGGCTCTTTTTTGGTTCCATATGAACTTTAAAGTAGTTTTTTCCAATTCTGTGAAGAAAGTCATTGGTAGCTTGATGGGGATGGCATTGAATCTGTAAATTACCTTGGGCAGTATGGCCATTTTCACGATATTGATTCTTCCTACCCATGAGCATGGAATGTTCTTCCATTTGTTTGTGTCCTCTTTTATTTCCTTGAGCAGTGGTTTGTAGTTCTCCTTGAAGAGGTCCTTCACATCCCTTGTAAGTTGGATTCCTAGGTATTTTATTCTCTTTGAAGCAATTGTGAATGGGAGTTCACCCATGATTTGGCTCTCTGTTTGTCTGTTGTTGGTGTATAAGAATGCTTGTGATTTTTGTACATTGATTTTGTATCCTGAGACTTTGCTGAAGTTGCTTATCAGCTTAAGGAGATTTTGAGCTGAGACGATGGGGTTTTCTAGATAAACAATCATGTCGTCTGCAAACAGGGACAATTTGACTTCCTCTTTTCCTAATTGAATACCCTTTATTTCCTTCTCCTGCCTGATTGCCCTGGCCAGAACTTCCAACACTATGTTGAATAGGAGCGGTGAGAGAGGGCATCCCTGTCTTGTGCCAGTTTTCAAAGGGAATGCTTCCAGTTTTTGCCCATTCAGTATGATATTGGCTGTGGGTTTGTCATAGATAGCTCTTATTATTTTGAAATACGTCCCATCAATACCTAATTTATTGAGAGTTTTTAGCATGAAGGGTTGTTGAATTTTGTCAAAGGCTTTTTCTGCATCTATTGAGATAATCATGTGGTTTTTGTCTTTGGCTCTGTTTATATGCTGGATTACATTTATTGATTTGCGTATATTGAACCAGCCTTGCATCCCAGGGATGAAGCCCACTTGATCATGGTGGATAAGCTTTTTGATGTGCTGCTGGATTCGGTTTGCCAGTATTTTATTGAGGATTTTTGCATCAATGTTCATCAAGGATATTGGTCTAAAATTCTCTTTTTTGGTTGTGTCTCTGCCCGGCTTTGGTGTCAGAATGATGCTGGCCTCATAAAATGAGTTAGGGAGGATTCCCTCTTTTTCTATTGATTGGAATAGTTTCAGAAGGAATGGTACCAGTTCCTCCTTGTACCTCTGGTAGAATTCGGCTGTGAATCCATCTGGTCCTGGACTCTTTTTGGTTGGTAAACTATTGATTATTGCCACAATTTCAGAGCCTGTTATTGGTCTATTCAGAGATTCAACTTCTTCCTGGTTTAGTCTTGGGAGAGTGTATGTGTCGAGGAATGTATCCATTTCTTCTAGATTTTCTAGTTTATTTGCGTAGAGGTGTTTGTAGTATTCTCTGATGGTAGTTTGTATTTCTGTGGGATCGGTGGTGATATCCCCTTTATCATTTTTTATTGTGTCTATTTGATTCTTCTCTCTTTTTTTCTTTATTAGTCTTGCTAGCGGTCTATCAATTTTGTTGATCCTTTCAAAAAACCAGCTCCTGGATTCATTGATTTTTTGAAGGGTTTTTTGTGTCTCTATTTCCTTCAGTTCTGCTCTGATTTTAGTTATTTCTTGCCTTCTGCTAGCTTTTGAATGTGTTTGCTCTTGCTTTTCTAGTTCTTTTAATTGTGATGTTAGGGTGTCAATTTTGGATCTTTCCTGCTTTCTCTTGTAGGCATTTAGTGCTATAAATTTCCCTCTACACACTGCTTTGAATGCGTCCCAGAGATTCTGGTATGTGGTGTCTTTGTTCTCGTTGGTTTCAAAGAACATCTTTATTTCTGCCTTCATTTCGTTATGTACCCAGTAGTCATTCAGGAGCAGGTTGTTCAGTTTCCATGTAGTTGAGCGGCTTTGAGTGAGATTCTTAATCCTGAGTTCTAGTTTGATTGCACTGTGGTCTGAGAGATAGTTTGTTATAATTTCTGTTCTTTTACATTTGCTGAGGAGAGCTTTACTTCCAACTGTGTGGTCAATTTTGGAATAGGTGTGGTGTGGTGCTGAAAAAAATGTATATTCTGTTGATTTGGGGTTGAGAGTTCTGTAGATGTCTATTAGGTCTGCTTGGTGCAGAGCTGAGTTCAATTCCTGGGTATCCTTGTTGACTTTCTGTCTCGTTGATCTGTCTAATGTTGACAGTGGGGTGTTAAAGTCTCCCATTATTAATGTGTGGGAGTCTAAGTCTCTTTGTAGGTCACTGAGGACTTGCTTTATGAATCTGGGTGCTCCTGTATTGGGTGCATAAATATTTAGGATAGTTAGCTCCTCTTGTTGAATTGATCCCTTTACCATTATGTAATGGCCTTCTTTGTCTCTTTTGATCTTTGTTGGTTTAAAGTCTGTTTTATCAGAGACTAGGATTGCAACCCCTGCCTTTTTTTGTTTTCCATTTGCTTGGTAGATCTTCCTCCATCCTTTTATTTTGAGCCTATGTGTGTCTCTGCACGTGAGATGGGTTTCCTGAATACAGCACACTGATGGGTCTTGACTCTTTATCCAATTTGCCAGTCTGTGTCTTTTAATTGCAGAATTTAGTCCATTTATATTTAAAGTTAATATTGTTATGTGTGAATTTGATCCTGTCATTATGATGTTAGCTGGTGATTTTGCTCATTAGTTGATGCAGTTTCTTCCTAGTCTCGATGGTCTTTACATTTTGGCATGATTTTGCAGCGGCTGGTACCGGTTGTTCCTTTCCATGTTTAGCGCTTCCTTCAGGAGCTCTTTTAGGGCAGGCCTGGTGGTGACAAAATCTCTCAGCATTTGCTTGTCTATAAAGTATTTTATTTCTCCTTCACTTATGAAGCTTAGTTTGGCTGGATATGAAATTCTGGGTTGAAAATTCTTTTCTTTAAGAATGTTGAATATTGGCCCCCACTCTCTTCTGGCTTGTAGAGTTTCTGCCGAGAGATCCGCTGTTAGTCTGATGGGCTTTCCTTTGAGGGTAACCCGACCTTTCTCTCTGGCTGCCCTTAACATTTTTTCCTTCATTTCAACTTTGGTGAATCTGACAATTATGTGTCTTGGAGTTGCTCTTCTCGAGGAGTATCTTTGTGGCGTTCTCTGTATTTCCTGAATCTGGACGTTGGCCTGCCTTGCTAGATTGGGGAAGTTCTCCTGGATAATATCCTGCAGAGTGTTTTCCAACTTGGTTCCATTCTCCACATCACTTTCAGGTACACCAATCAGACGTAGATTTGGTCTTTTCATATAGTCCCATATTTCTTGGAGGCTTTGCTCATTTCTTTTTATTCTTTTTTCTCTAAACTTCCCTTCTCGCTTCATTTCATTCATTTCATCTTCCATTGCTGATACCCTTTCTTCCAGTTGATCGCATCGGCTCCTGAGGCTTCTGCATTCTTCACGTAGTTCTCGAGCCTTGGTTTTCAGCTCCATCAGCTCCTTTAAGCACTTCTCTGTATTGGTTATTCTAGTTATACATTCTTCTAAATTTTTTTCAAAGTTTTCAACTTCTTTGCCTTTGGTTTGAATGTCCTCCCGTAGCTCAGAGTAATTTGATTGTCTGAAGACTTCTTCTCTCAGCTCGTCAAAATCATTCTCCATCCAGCTTTGTTCTGTTGCTGGTGAGGAACTGCGTTCCTTTGGAGGAGGAGAGGTGCTCTGCGTTTTAGAGTTTCCAGTTTTTCTGTTCTGTTTTTTCCCCATCTTTGTGGTTATATCTACTTTTGGTCTTTGATGATGGTGATGTACAGATGGGTTTTCAGTGTAGATGTCCTTTCTGGTTGTTAGTTTTCCTTCTAACAGACAGGACCCTCAGCTGCAGGTCTGTTGGAATACCCTGCCGTGTGAGGTGTCAGTGTGCCCCTGCTGGGGGGTGCCTCCCAGTTAGGCTGCTCGGGGGTCAGGGGTCAGGGACCCACTTGAGGAGGCAGTCTGCCCGTTCTCAGATCTCCAGCTGCGTGCTGGGAGAACCACTGCTCTCTTCAAAGCTGTCAGACAGGGACACTTAAGTCTGCAGAGGTTACTGCTGTCTTTTTGTTTGTCTGTGCCCTGCCCCCAGAGGTGGAGCCTACAGAGGCAGGCAGGCCTCCTTGAGCTGTGGTGGGCTCCACCCAGTTCGAGCTTCCCGGCTGCTTTGTTTACCTAAGCAAGCCTGGGCAATGGCGGGCGCCCCTCCCCCAGCCTCGTTGCCGCCTTGCAGTTTGATCTCAGACTGCTGTGCTAGCAATCAGCGAGATTCCGTGGGCGTAGGACCCTCTGAGCCAGGTGTGGGATATAGTCTCGTGGTGCGCCGTTTCTTAAGCCGGTCTGAAAAGCGCAATATTCGGGTGGGAGTGACCCGGTTTTCCAGGTGCGTCCGTCACCCCTTTCTTTGACTCGGAAAGGGAACTCCCTGACCCCTTGCGCTTCCCAGGTGAGGCAATGCCTCGCCCTGCTTCGGCTCGCGCACGGTGCGCACACACACTGGCCTGCGCCCACTGTCTGGCACTCCCTAGTGAGATGAACCCGGTACCTCAGATGGAAATGCAGAAATCACCCGTCTTCTGCGTCACTCACGCTGGGAGCTGTAGACCGGAGCTGTTCCTATTCGGCCATCTTGGCTCCTCCTCCAACTTTATTTTTTTTTGAGACAGAGTCTCATTCTGTTGCCCAGGCTGGAGTGCAGTAGCGCAATCTCAGCTCACTGCAACCTCTGCCTCCCGTGTTCAATCAATTCTCCTGCCTTAGTTTCCCAAGAAGCTGGGATTACAGGCACCCGCCACCACACCCAGCTAATTTTTGTATTTTGAGTAGAGACGGGTTTCACCATGTTGGCCAGGATAGTCTCGAACTCCTGACCTCAGGTGATCCACCCGCCTCGGTCTCCCAAAGTGCTGGGATTACAGGCGTGAGCCATCGTGCCTGGCCAGATTTTACTTTTTAACCAAACAGTTGTGTCTATGTGTACCCCATGTCATATAGCACAAAGTCTAAGGAAAACAAATGTCTAATAAAGAAAACCCAACCAAAGTGGTTCATAAATACTTCTACTGAAAAGAAATGAAATGCCAAAGCATAAAAAGTTAACACGTAGATTTTCTAGCAATCTGAAGTCGGGGACTTGGGGTGGCTGCCCACTCCAGTCCTAGGAGATCTGCTTTATCTTCCTCAACACTGACTCTCTTGGTGACAGCAAAATAAAAGGAAAAAGCAATGCCTATCCCACGAAAAGGCAATCTGATAACAGTTTGGGTGGCAAGTTTCTTCTTCCTCCTTTGGTTTTCTAATGAAAATGCTACCTTTAACAATTACTCTGAGAGAATTACTCAATCCCCAGGGCACTTACAGGTGGGGTATGCACTGAGAGAAGACATGGCTTCCGCATTCAGGTGATGCACATTCTATTTAGGGAAACAGCACTAGTTAAATTAAACAATTTAATCTATCTAGAAGCACGTATCACATTCCTGATAAATCATAAGTACTCAAATATATTAATTGAATGTGAAAATAATAGTATGTCCCCGCTACATATTA